>NC_000012.12:32734370-32887065 GCF_000001405.40 Homo sapiens
TTCTGCTACTCCCTAATTCAGTAAGACCTGAGTCCCCTGCTATACCAAATTTCCTCTTCTGCATATCCATGGTGAGAAAATTGTAAACATGCAATTCAGAAGCTGGAAGGGATCCTGTGTTATTGACTTCAACTCTGGTTAAAACAGATGGGGTGGCCAGACGTGGTGGCTCATGCCTGTAATCCCAGCAATTTGGGAGGTCAAGGCAGGTGGATCACCTGACATCAGGAGTTTGAGACCAGCCTGGCCAACATGGTGAAACCCCGTCTCTACTAAAAATACAAAAAATTAGCCGGGCTTGGTGGCAGGTGCCTGTAATCTGAGCTACTAGGGAGGCTGAGGCAGGAGAATCAACTTGAACCCAGGAGGTGGAGGTTGCAGTGAGCTGAGATCGCGCCATTGCACTCCAGCCTGGGCAACAAGGGCGAAACTCCATCTTAAAAAAAAACTGGGGAGCTTGAGGCTTACAGATAGCAGTTATTCCTTTGGTGCTTATTTTGCAGGGCACTATTATAGGAAGCAAGCACCTTCTTAACACAGGTATAGGGAACTAATTTTTGGTTACATAGCTGGGGGTGATTCCTGTTATCAGAAAAAATTCCAAAATGCATACATGAGTAGGCACTTCAAAACACTCAGAAAGTAGGCCAGATCACAGTTATGTTAAAAATTAGCATGTAGACACTTAAAGGATTTAGTTTTTTTTACATTGAAACTAACATCATGAAAAACTTGTGTTTGCGGTAGTTCTGTTACACTGACAAGGTCATATGTGATATGATTTCAGATTAGTATTTTTCTACAAATGAATAGGTTTCTGGTTTTAATGACTGTGCCAGAGAACTTTATGTGGATATTTTCATTTAATCTTTACCATACCCTGAGGGCAGATCATGTCATTAACAGATTAGGACACTAGGGCTTCAAAATAGTTGGTAAGCTGTCCAGTTAGCAAAGCAGGTACTCCACATCTGCTGGGGTCCAGGAGCAGCTCAGATCATAACTGGTTAGTAACAGACTAGGGTGAGAATTCTAGATACCGTGGCCTTTTGCTTTGTATCCCTGTTCAAAATGTACATTTTATCATGCTAATTTTTTATTTTGAAGATTGTTAATATCTATACTTTTATTATCTGTTATTTTTTATTACTGAATACCCGCCCATGAAAAAATAAAATTGGGTCAAATTTCTGTCAAAAAAAATTATTACACATGAAACATCACTGTGGGCTGTGTGCGGTGGCTCATGCCTGTAATCCCAGCACTTTGGTAGGCCGAGGCAGGCTGATCACCTGAGGTCAGGAGTTCAAGTCTAGCCTGGCCAACGTGGCAAAACTGTCTCTACTAAAAATAGAAAAATTAGCCGGGGGTGGTGGATGCCTGTAATCCCAGCTAGTAGGGAGGCTGCAGCAGGGAGAATCCATTGAATCCAGGAGGCGGAGGTTGCAGTGAGCCAAGATCACACCACTGCACTCCAGCCTGGGCGACAGAGCGAGACTCCATTTCAACAAAAAACAAAAACAAAATCATTGTGAGGCTTTAACTTATATTTTTTTGCAAGTTGGACTGTGTTCATGAAATACTTCCTACTTAGGAGCAATTGTGACTTTAACCTAAATAGTTTCTACTTTATCTGATGCTGCCTGTGAGAGATCCATCATTAATTAACATCTACAGATTTCTATATCTTCATAATCTTTTTTTTTTTTTTTTTTTTTTAAGACAGAGTCTCACTCTGTCGCCCAGGCTGGAGTGCAGTGGCATGAGCTCTGCTCACTGCAACCTCTGCCTCCTGGGTTCAAGCAGTTCTCCTGCCGCAGCCTCCTGAGTAGCTGGGATTACAGGTGTGCGGCACCATGCCTGGCTAATTTTTATATTTTTAGTAGAGACAGGGTTTCACCATTTTGGCCAGGCTGGTCTTGAACTGCCCTCAAGTGATCTGCCCACCTTGGCCTCCCAAAGTGCTGGGATTACAAGCATGAGGCACTGTGCCCGGCCAATATTTTCATAATCTTTTACCTATCTTGGTGCTTGGATATAGCAGATGCTCGGGACATTCTAATTTGAATTTGTCAGTTTCTTTAGCTTTGTACAAGTTACTTTGATAATATTAGCAAATTAGAACAGTAGGCAATTGATCAGTGTGTTAAATTAGCCAGGTTACAGAAAGGACTAGCAGTTGTCAACACTATTTCCTGGAGGAAGAAATGGAACATTTTTATAGGATAACCTCAACCACAGATACTTCTTCAAGATACGGTTTTATGAGGGGAGTTGTTTGAGTTTAACACAAAGGTGTTCAGGTTAGAGTGACTTTTAAAGGCTTTGCGGAGTTTTCTGTGATCTCTGGACTTCAAATTCCACATGGTTATGTTGAAGGCTTACCACGTTCCACATTTATGTGAGGACAGTTTACATCACTGTTTCTTAGTGGGAAAGGGGGAGAAGATGGCAGTCTGTTGCCCCTCATTTGAGAATCCCCAGTACAGGGAGCCACTGTTACTGACAGTGTATTGTATCCTTCAGGTGTGTGGGCAGAAAAAAAAAAGATTAAGAAGCTTTGGGTTAAATGATTTCTTATTTATTTTAAAATATGATAATTATGGCATGAGTCCCAACAGTGAGAGGATGTATCTGTAAGTTACTCCACACTTTTCAATTAACATGAACATTTTTTAGTAGGCATATATCTCAATACTTGGATAATCACTTTTGTTTTGCTTGTGTTTCTTAGGAACAAAGGAGAAACAGGCTAGCCAGAGAATTACCTTCAGCTGTATCACGAGACAAGGTAAAAAAATGTTTTTAATGCATATTCCCAATACCTAAAGATAGATTGATGAGCTCAGAATATTACTCAGTCCTAGGAGTAATTTTTTCTTCTTTTCCTCCCTTTAACACTCCATTGGAACTAACTGAGTAAAGGCATACAAGTTTAAAATGGGTTTTGAGTGATTTAAAGATAATAGTATTTTGAATTCACTGACATAAATGCTTAAAAGTAGATTTAAGCATTTATTTAAGCATTTAAGCATCAAGCTTTTTAAAAAAATTCAGTCAGTGACTTTATCAACTTTGCACATAGCTGAAATGACTCAAGATTTTATTATAATAAGAGGGTTTCTTGGAAAAAACAGTATGCACAGAACAGAGGTTTTAATTACTAGTAATAATTAAAATAGTTGTAATACTAAAGTGTGTATAAAAATCTTTTACCTTGAATTCTTTGCCAGAAAAGAATCTTATTAAATACCAAAAATAAAAATGAAGCTTTTGGATTTGGATTTTTCTTATGTATTCATCTGAAGGAAACTTTTAACAAAGGTGACAATGGTGAAGGAAATAAGGCAGAATAAACAATCTCCCATGATTATTTTCATCTTTCATGTTATTTTACGATTTCATTACAGAAGGGAAAAATTCATTTATAGAATGTTCCTGAATGCATTTTTGCATCCTTGATTTTTTTTCCCCCCTGGATTTTTTGCCTTTAGTCTTCTAAAGTTCCAAGTGCTTTGGCACCTGCCTCCCAGGAGCCCTCCCCCGCTGCTTCTGCTGAGGCTGATGGCAAGGTCTGTTCTGATTCTTAATCTAAGCCTGCATGCCTTGTTCTCTGGTACAACATAATCTTCTGGAAACAATACACTGAATAGAAGAATATTAATATGGGATACTGTGCTAAGGTCAGATCACTTTAGTCTAATATATATTTTAAAATTATATAACAATGCAATGCATAGTTTATATTGTTGACATGCTTTTGCTTGCAATATAGAAGATGCACACAGAAAAAGTAATTTAAAGAGGAAATTATCCTGCACTTTTTGAATTTCAACCCATTGGTATTTAAATTTTGCTTGTTAAATTGCATGTTTTAACATATCTTTTAACAGTTAATTCAGGACAGCAGAAGAGAAACTAAAAATGTGAGTCTCTTGCTTCAGAATGGAAATGTTGGTACCTTTGGTTCTCACTGAAACACTGTCTATACCACCATTAAAGAACCTGTTTGTGTAGTGGTATCTATCTCTTGTCTGTGTTATGTTCTTAATGTTCCTTTTATCTAACCTGTGGAAGATGGCATTAAACGTTGTTTTAATTAGTAACAATAATAGGCTTTCTCACTGTTTTGTTACCTTCAAGAATAGTTTTAAATTTAGTATTTTGGTAGGAAATTCAGAGATTTCCTAGATTTCAGAGATGGAATTGTATTTTTGGACATTTCCTTTCCTCTTTAAAGATCTTGAGATCTGTTCAGTACTAATAGATCTAATGCTTCTTTCTTATGCTTCCAGTTAGTTTGCACTTGTTACCCTATATATAGCTTCACATATGCTTCAGAAGCTTAAGCAAATTAAAAAAACAAATGGGGACTGTGAGAGTTTGAGACTGTTTTCAATTCTTGATAACCATTTTAGAGGAAAATTAAATAATGTATAAATTATTCAGACTCATCGCTATTTCAAGATTTTCTGCCATTTAGCTCCTTTCCTTAATTATCCAGATTTAAAGTTCTGAACTTCAAATAAAGGTTTATAAATGTCTTATCTTCTCTCAGCCCACTGTGCTCAGATATTAATCAAACCATCTAAATCACTGCACAAGTTTTATTTCATTCATGACGTCACACTGAATGTGCTCTCTCTCCTTAAGATTTCATTTGGTATGTCATTCATGTATAGTTAACAAACATTTAAAAATCTAATTACTCATTTTTAAGTTAATGTGTAACATAAATATACTACTTATATTTAAATGTAGTTCACCTTAACTGACATACTAAAGACAGATTTTAGCAAATATTTTGATTCAGAATGATACCTCAAACTACCATTTTTCTAACTGCCATAATCCTCTATTAAACTTATATAATCCATTTTTAGATTGTAAGATCTTAAAGAATACCTAAAAAAAACCCTCTTAAATGTTGATGAATTGTTTTTCCATTATAAAGTCATTTTTGACTTTTAGAAGTCAAGACTAATACATTTTCTAGAAAACAAGGTACAAAAGCACTTGTGATTAATGGTAGCACTAGATTTCTTTCAGCAAATCCTTAAGAGTACAGAGGTTGAGGGGACTTCTGTTGTTTGTCACATTCCGCATTTGAAACAACTCACAGTGACTGTCAGCCTAAGAATAGCAAATGTAGTCTTGCTTTTTGTTAAAGAGTTCTTACTTATACCTTATGGCATTTTTGTTGACTATTAGAAATGTAAATTGAGAAACATATAAACTCTTAAGTTCAGAGACGTAAGTTCATGGAACTTTTAGAGTTTAACAGTGTTAATGATTACTTAAGAAATTAAACTGAATAGCAGTTCTTTGTGCTTTTAACGAGTAGTTTTGTTTTTAAGGGCAGCATATACTTTTCCTACAATTTAGTGTTTGAAGGGTGGGAGAAGAGGAACGATTTTGAAAAGTTAGCGAATGATAAAGAAAAAAGGAATTAAATAGAACATAAGTTGGTTGATGCCTTGCAAACAACTTAGAGCAGAACTTCTTTATTATTTAGATAGGTCAGGGTTCCAGTTATACATGCTACCTAGTGTCTCCTTCTGACCTCATTATCTGTCTGAATAAACTTCAGATGGGTACTGGATGTATATTGACTACTGTCAAATAAAATGAACTTTGTTTTAGTTAAGGTCAGATATGATGTGGTTGGTATGTTTTGGAACATGTTTTTTCAGGTTGCATCTGGAGGTGGTGGGGTTGGAGATGGTGTTCAAGAACCAACCACAGGCAACTGGAGAGGAATGCTGAAAACTTCAAAAGCTGAAGAGTTATTAGCAGAAGAAAAATCAAAACCCATTCCAATTATGCCAGCCAGTCCACAAAAAGGTCATGCCGTGAACCTGCTAGATGTGGTAAGCCATGACAATTTGGTTTAGGTAATAAGGTAGGTGACCAAGTTAGTAGGAAAACGATTAGACAGAAAGAACTAAAAGTCTCAAAAACTTACATAACTTTCAGATGTTAAAGCTGCCATTTTAGTGTCACAAAAGTAATATTTTTTCCCCCTCATCCCTATTTAGCCAGTTCCTGTTGCACGAAAACTATCTGCTCGGGAACAGCGAGATTGTGAGGTTATTGAACGACTCATTAAATCATATTTTCTCATTGTCAGAAAGAATATTCAAGACAGGTTAGTATTACTTAATATAAATGACGGACTTTAATACTTCTGGATGATTCTGTGATCTGTTTTGAAAAATACATGTATTTTTACAATTTTAGGTTTTTATTCTAAATCATCAAGTGGATTTTCTGATAGTCCTTGGGTAACTTGTAGCAAGACCCATTTTGTTAACATAGAATGACTAGGACCTCATGTATCAGCTAGAAAAAGCTATTAAAAATGAGAGATTCTTTTGTTCTATCTGGCTGCCACATTTTGAGTCATTTAAGAAAATCTTTTTCCTAAATTTTAATTTAGTAGTTTCATTAATTATTTTGGCTAGTAACACTGACTTGCCTTTTTAATTTAACTTGGTTTTCCAAAGTATCAAAACGAATGTCTTTTACTAGGAAATATGTGTATTTTTTCTCGTTCAGAATGTTTTTTCATGTGTCTAGTCCCTACTGCATCTTCTCCTTCATGTTGCCTGGTATGTCATTTCATGCAGTAATAGGGAGAATATACATTTAGTTGTGTGAAGTGATCTATTAGAAAATATTCTGCATCCAGTTTTTGGTAATCTGTCAGCAGCTAAGATGAATTTTACTGCACAGAGTAATAAACAGTCTAATACTTCATATTGAAATAAATGATTTTTGTCTGTAGAACCATTTATCTTTTTTGCTTGTAGACTTTTTAAACCCGTAGCTTGTAGTAGAAATAACAGTTCCTAGTGTTTTACACTGTGGGCCTGAAGAAAAAAATTCCATTTGTTTCCTTCCTTGCCCCCATCCTCTGCAGAAGGTGTTTTTGAGATGGAGTCTCGCTTTGTCGCCCAGGCTGGGGTGCAGTGGCGCAGTCTTGGCCCACTTCAACCTCTGCCTTCTGGGTTCAAGCGATTCTCCTGCCTCAGCCTCCTGAGTAGCTGGGATAACAGGTGTGCACCACCATGCCCAGCTAATTTTTGTATTTTTAGTAGAGACGGGTTTCACCATGTTGGCCAGGCTGGTCTCGAACTCCTGACGTCAGGTGATCTACCTGTCTTGGCCTCCCAAAGTGCTGGGATTATAGGCGTGAGCCACTGCACCCGGCTCACTTAATGTTTTTAAGCCTCATCCATACTGTAGTATGAATCAGTATAGTCACGCACCACATAACATTTTAGTCAACAGACCACGTATTTGAATGTGTTCCCGTTAGATTATGATACCATGTTTTTGCTGTACATTTCCTATGTTTAGATACACAAATACTATTGTGTTACAGTTCCCTATTCAGTACAGTAACATGCTGTACATGTTTGCAGCCTGGAGCAATAGGCTATCCCATATAGCTTAGGCGTGTCATAGGCTATACCATCTACGTTTGTGTAAGTACACTCTGTGCTGTGCATGTAATGAAATCACCTAATAATGCATTTCTCAAAGCATATCCGTGTCATTAAGTGACATATCTTTTGTGTGAATAATACTAGATTATGTAGATATACTGTGTTTAAGCATTCATCAGCTGATGTTTGGATTTTTCTCACTTCTTGGCTATTATGAATAAATGCTTATTGAAGAGTTTTGAAATAAAGATGATGAAAAGAAGGTAAAGTATCAAGAATTGTTGCTTTTGTTTTTTTTTTTGAGACACAGTCTCACTCTGTTGCCCAGGCTGGAGTGCAGTGGCGCGTTCTTGGCTCACTGCAATCTCCACCTCCTGGGTTCAAGTGATTCTCGTATCTCAGCCTCCCGAGTAGCTGGGATCACAGGCATGTGCCACCACACTCAGCTAATTTTTTATTTTTAGTGCAGACGGTGTTTCACCATGTTGGCCAGGCTGCTGTCAAACTCCTGGCCTCAAGCAGTCCACCCGCGTCAGCCTCCCAGAGTGCTGGGATTACAGGCATGAGCCACTGCGCCTGGCCGAGAACTGCTTTTCTTAATGTTTAATTACAGTTAAGCAAAAATCTAAAGGGCGATTATGCCATTAATGAAATATCCAAAGTAGTAGTGTTCTTACTTAACTTTATTTCATGAGGTTAGCATCTAAGCCCAAATTGTTAAAAGTAGAATTTTGGCTAAAATTCCATAATTTGGTTGTGTTTTGCAGTGTGCCAAAGGCAGTAATGCATTTTTTGGTTAATCATGTGAAAGACACTCTTCAGAGTGAGCTAGTAGGCCAGCTGTATAAATCATCCTTATTGGATGATCTTCTGACAGAATCTGAGGACATGGCACAGCGCAGGAAAGAAGCAGCTGATATGCTAAAGGTATTGTGGACCTTTTGATTTTTTATACTTGGGTAGTAGATAGAAACATAGAAATAGTTTTAAATGCAGTTTGATTCTTGGATATGTATAGTCTTTATATTCTAGCTAGGCTTGTTTCCTGTTGGTACTTGATAAGAATCTTTTTTTTTTTTTTTTTTTTTTTTTGAGTGGGAGTCTGGCTCTGTCGCCCAGGCTGGAGTGCAGTGGCACAATCTCGGCTCACTGCAAGCGCCGCCTCCCAGGTTCACGCCATTCTCCTGCCTCAGCCTCCCGAGTAGCTGGGACTACAGGCGCCCACCACCACACCCAGCTAATTTTTTGTATTTTTAGTAGAGACGGGGTTTCACCATGTTAGCCAGGATAGTCTCTAACTCCTGACCTCATGATCCGCCCGCCTCGACCTCCCAAAGTGCTGGGATTACAGGCATGAGCCACTGCGCCTGGCCGGTACTTGATTAGATTCTAATTCCAGAGAAGATATTGGTTAGTATAAACTGGTTAGTTATAAACCTACCACATATATATTGGAAAAATTACCCTGCGTAATTCAGATTAATTTCATAACTTTATAATAAGCATTTAAAATTTTTTTTCCTTTAATGCAGGCATTACAAGGAGCCAGTCAAATTATTGCTGAAATCCGGGAGACTCATCTTTGGTGAAGAGAACTATGTAATACTGAGACTTTGTTGACTCAAAACTTGCTAGTTACTGCCTACCTGAGTAGAATCTTATTTATGAACTCCTGTGTATTGCAATGGTATGAATCTGCTCATGTGGAGACTGGCTATAAACTGAAAAGTGTATTCCAAATTGCAGAACACATCACACATTTAATCCAAATAATAAATGGCTGTTTCTAAAGTTTCCCAGTATATATAAAATACATCAAGTCTGTCTTGTGACAGTTTCATCTGAACTTAACTTAAAAACAACTGTTAATGTTCTAGTTGTGCAAAGCAGTTTGCCTGTGGATAAGATGACCTGTGTAATAATCTTTGTTAGTAGTCTTAAAGCTGCTGCCATAGTCCTCCAAGAAGAAAGCACCAAGACAACATTTCATATGACTATAATGCATGTACTATATAAGCTGATCTGGCTTTGAAAGATGTGAGTTGGCAAGTTCCTCACATAGAGTCATTGTATTCCACCTGTCCTTCAATTTAGTTTTTTCTGAGCTTCTTTGCAGCCTTTGATGTGTTTTTAAGAAAGCTGAATGCACAAGAGGATCTGTGACACTGACATGGCTGTGGTGTGCATACTGTGTAGTTACATAGCCCTTCCAATTCTGGGTCCATTTGCACTAGCAAATTAAAATATGCTTTGATTCATACTTAAACCTGAAAGCAGGAATGCCTACATTAATTCCTACATTAAAAACAGCCATCTACCCTTGATTATCTAGAAAGACTTGGTAATGATGGTCAGTTCCTTTTAGATTTCAGAAAATCAAATGATGACCTAAATTTCCCTTAATTTGCAAATACAGTAGTAATTAAGGTACATCTCTAAAGTGGAGCACTTACACCAGGCTCTAAGATTCACTTTGAGGTGGAACTTAAAACCAGTGTACTGTATGTATGCATTGGTAATAGCTACTTTTGCTTCATAGCTTCATACCAACAAAATATATTTATTAGAATAGTATGAAAGTACTGGAGGAGCTGAAAGAAAAACACCCAAGGCTGGGCGTGGTGGCACACGCCTGTAATCCCAGCACTTTGGGAGGCCGAGGCAGGTGGATCACCTGAGGTTGGGAGTTGGAGACCAGCTTGACCAACATGGAGAAACCCCGTCTCTACTAAAAATACAAAATTGGCCGGGCGTGGTGGCGCATGCCTGTAATCCCAGCTACTCGGGAGGGTGAGGCAGGAGAATTGCTTGACCCTGGGAGGTGGAGGTTGTGGTGAGCTAAGATCGTGCCATTGCACTCCAGCCTTGGCAACAAGAGCGAAACTCCGTCTCAAAAAAAAAAAATAAAACAACACCCAGATAGATACACATACTCCTTCAGACTTACAGACCTAAGCTGCATTTATGGGGTAGTGATGAGGTTTAGAACATATACATATTTTGTTAAAATTCCCCAGATGATTCTTGGTATGAACGACTATATTATAAATTTTAAGATGTACTTAGAAATCCTTAAGACATCTAGCCCCGTCTCTAATAGACAACACATTTATATTGCAGATATTACTTTTTTTTCAGTTTATGACCAGGTATTTATGAAGGACTATTGGCAGGGAAAATATGAATATGTTAACTTTAGCTTATGGCATCAATTTACTAAGGAACAACAGGCTCACCAACTGATGTCAAACATAAAAACCCCCACATCAGTCTGATACGATATGGTACTACTTTGAATCTGTTACTAGTACCATCTTGACAGAGGATACATGCTCCCAAAACGTTTGTTACCACACTTAAAAATCACTGCCATCATTAAGCATCAGTTTCAAAATTATAGCCATTCATGATTTACTTTTTCCAGATGACTATCATTATTCTAGTCCTTTGAATTTGTAAGGGGAAAAAAAACAAAAACAAAAACTTACGATGCACTTTTCTCCAGCACATCAGATTTCAAATTGAAAATTAAAGACATGCTATGGTAATGCACTTGCTAGTACTACACACTTTGTACAACAAAAAACAGAGGCAAGAAACAACGGAAAGAGAAAAGCCTTCCTTTGTTGGCCCTTAAACTGAGTCAAGATCTGAAATGTAGAGATGATCTCTGACGATACCTGTATGTTCTTATTGTGTAAATAAAATTGCTGGTATGAAATGACACTAAAGTTTGTCAAAAAATGAATTCTTAACTTTTCTCCCAGAGAAAGGGAGACAAAAGGAGCTTTTTAATACCTAATCTACTTTGGAACATAACCGTATAGAGTACGAAAAATTTTACGACTTTTTTCCTACCAGATTCTGACAGTTCACCAAGGTATTATAACATCTCCATTTTTGCGTATGAAGACAGTGACTTGCTCCAAGTAATCCAGGTAGTAAATGGCTAGAATTTGAACACTAAAGCCATGCTCTGCTGCCTGTAAGGTTTTCAAAAGAAATCTGATTAATCATTTCGTATGTGATTCACTTGATCCTCAAGGCAACAGGGATGCCATTGCCTTGATTTTTCAGATATGGAAATAGTTCTGGAGAATTAATTTGCCTCATGTTTGAAGAGCTGAACTCAGTCTTGATTCCAAATCCTTTAAGTTTGACCTGAAAACTTTCCTTACCTGGATACTTTTTGATATTCTCATATGATTGCATATTTGGTATAATTGGCTTTATTTTTGGGGGGTTAACTTTTTAATTTACCTCAAGTTGCAATCTGCTTGGGGGGAAAAGCTGAAACTTAAAACCAATTTAAGTTTCTAAATTTATAAAACATTGCTACCTTAGGAATCCACTGACAACAAGGCTTAATGTGAACAGAATTATACTGGAACACAGGCAAGGAACCAGAAAACTGAATTAGAAACTTTCTGAAAAGTCACGTACTGATTTTTGTACTATTATTTGTAAAGAAACTACTTACTGTAATTTCTCAAAGCAACCATGGCCTCATCTAACTTTTTCTCCTTTTTAAGAACTACATTTGCTCTCTGAACTACAAAAAAATCAAATTTCTATTCAAAGTTTCTAATACTAGTTTTCCCATTTCTAATGTGGACACTAGAGGCCCTGATGATTTTATAAACAACTATATAACATTAGTGACATCGGTGCTCCATACCTGATAGAAAAGCAGCTACAATTCCTTTTTTTTTTTTTTTTTTTTGAGACAGAGTTTCACTCACTACTCATGCTGTCTCCCAGGCTGGAGTGCAGTGGCGTGATCTCAGCTCACTGCAACCTCCATCTCCTGGGTTCAAGTGATTCTCGCAGCTCAGCCTCTTGAGTAGCTGGGGTTACAGGTGCCTGCAACCACATCTGGCTAATTTTTATATTTTCAGTAGAGACGGGGTTTCGCCCTGTTGGCCAGGCTGGTCTCAAACTCCTGGCCTCAAGCGATTTGCCCACCTTGGCCTCCCGAAGTGCTGGGATTACAGGTGTGAGCCACCATGCCCAGCCTCACAATTCCTTACACTACCTCTTTTTCATTGTTCCTCATCACTACAAAAAGGAGAGCAGGAAGGGTAAGATAGGAAAGCAGCATTTCTTTCTCTTCTGAAGTATAATTTTAAAAAGAGATTAACCCTGAAAATCATGGTTTTCTATGGTAATCAAGCTTTGTACATCAGAAAATAAAACATCCCATTATTAAACAAATATTTATTAACCGGCCCATAAAAATAATGAAGTTACTCACACTGAGTCCTAGTCCATTCTGTTTTTCTGATTTGCATAAGCAAAGGTCTAAGTTCTGGAGCCAACCCTTCAGAGGTCTTGAGAATGAATGATGGGTAAGTTTATTTGGACAACCAGAAGGACTTTTCATCACAACTGAAGCCATTTTATAATGTAGAAATTTCTTTTTCCTATTTTAAGTAAGGAAAGTCCATTCTTGAGAATATGTTGTCCAACAATTAAAACACTCTCAGGATTTGTTACTTGTTGGTGATTTATGCTGACTCCGCCTTCTGTTATCATTCGATACCTAAAAAATAGAAACGTTTAGTAAGTAGAGAGATCCAATCACTGTTGATCTGTCCCCCAAAAAAGACTGTTTCACTTAGATTTCAGAGGCTCTCCAATTGAGAAGATTTCATTTGGCACTGGACTGTTACCTTCATGTTTGCTCTATTATTAATAGATTCTGCCTCTCTTTACTGCTCTTTGTTTTTTGTTGTTTGTTTTTGAAACACATTCTTGCTCTGTAGCCCAGGCTGGCATGATCTCAGCTCACTGCAACCTCCGCCTCCTGTGTTCTAAGTGATTCTCCTGCCTCAGCCTCCAGAGTAGCTGCGATTACAGGTGCATGCCACCACACCTGGCTAATTTTGTATTTTTAGTAGAGATGGGTTTCGCCATGTTAGCCAGGCTGGTCTCAAACTCCCAACCTCAAGTGATCCACCTGCCTTGGCCTCCCAAAGTGCTGGGATTACAGGTGTGAACCACTGTGTCTGGCCGGAATTTACGCCTTGCAATCTGCTCTTTTAAAGACTCCGTCTCAAGAAAAAAAAAGAAAGACCTAGGAGAAGTTGTTCTAGGAGCACACTGGGTAGGTGAGGGCTGAACATTTCACTGAAAAAAGAGATACTTAAACTGGGAGTGAAGCTACCTTGACAATCAGGGCAGGAAACATGGGAGCAGCTAGAAAGAGGTGAGATCTGAGAAGACAGGGCTACAGCGTGGCTAGATCTTGGAAGTCCTTAAGAAAGAAAAATGGTGGTTTTCTCTCATCTGAATGTTACCAAATAAAATTAAGAAACCACTACTGGACATGGTTTTAAAGATATTTTTATACCTTTATTTTTGGGTAGAGACGGAGTCTCACTACGTCCTTGCCCACACAGATCTTGAACTCCTGGCCCCAAGCAATCCTCCCGCCCTCAGCCTCCCGAAGTGCTGGGATTACAAATGTGAGCCACCATACCTGGCCATGGACATGGTTTTATAAAACTCATCAGTAAAATATTTTCTACTTAAGGCCAGATTCCTTTCTTTTAGGAAGTATTATTTTACGCTGTCTGCTAGTTTCCAGATCATGTTCTATGTTTAATTTAAATGCACCAAACCTATTTAGCTTATATAATATTAAAAAAAAAAATCAGTATTACTTAGAGCCCTGGCTAAATCAGATGTGGTGTCATTTTTAGTAGTGGTAAAGCTTCCAGTATTAGCGAACACACTATAGTAAAGTTCAGAAGAAAACGAAATCTGCTTCCATAGTGAGGAAAATTATTTGTCTCGCTGACATACTACAGGGAAGTATATGACACCAGCCTCAAATTCACTGTGTGTTAAACCAGCAGATGAGGGAATCACTAAGGTGGAGTGGCAGGTGATGCAAAGGGAGACAATGGGTGCTTTTTCCAGGCAGAATAGTCTAGGACTCTTTAGGACACAGGCAAACAATCCAAGACAGTTGAAAGAGAACAACTATAACAAATGTCATTCATAATCATGGCCATGATATGGCCGATAACCATTTGACTTCTGTGTGAACTCCTGCAAAAGAGGCACCTGGGGGTCTTCTGGCTACCCAACACTTTTCCTTCCACCTCACTGTTCATTTAAAAATGGATAAGCATCAATTATATGCTGAATTATTTTTTGTGAAAAACCTTATTTACTCCTTAATACCTCATAACTGATTAATTAAAATATTCTACTCAATTCCTGAATAGAAAATGCAATTCTCAAGGGGATTATTATATAGTTTACAATAATAGTCTTATGACGTTAGTAGGTTAGTGCAAAAGTACTTGCGGTTTTGGCCATTATATGCTCATTTCATTTTCAGAAATTCAGTTAATACTATAGATAGGTTAGGTAACCTTTCCCATCCCCGAATATAAAAAGGATACAGACTATGAGAGGGGCTGTGTTAATCTGTTACATAGGGCCTCTGTTTCTGCATCCCTCTAAAACTGTGACCATATCCCTAAGCCGTACACTGATGCCAGTGTATTTACTGAACATGTCCCTCAAATGCACTTTTCCAGTGTTGGAGGAAAGACTGACTGGGTTAGATATAATAAGAGACAGTATAGGAGTACTGTACTATTATAGAAAATATAAAGTATTTTCAACAATAAGTACTCTCAGGCTATACTTTATTCTTGGACTAAACTAACTTTTCTAAGGAAGAGATGCCACTAAAGCACTATCAGGAAAACATCCTCTCTGGAAACACATGCTGTGAACTGTAACATTTTATTTATTTTTTGAGACAGAGTCTTGCTCTGTCACCCAGGCTGGAGTGCAGTGGTGGGATCTCCGCTCACTGCAAGCTCTGCCTCCCGGGTTGATGCCATTCTCCTGCCTCAGCCTCCCAAGTAGCTGGGACTACAGGCGCCTGCCACCATGCCCGGCTAATTTGTATTTTTAGTAGAGACAGGGTTTCACCGTGTTAGCCAGGATGGTCTCGATCTCCTGACCTCGTGATCTGCCCGCCTCGGCCTCCCAATGTGCTGTGATTACAGGCATGAGCCACTTCTCCTGGCCTTGTGAACTGTAACATTTAATGGTGAATTAACTGTAAATCTAAAAGTTAAATAATCTTACCCTCGGGGACCATCTGGAATGGCATTTGCTTTGCGGCAAGTATCTAGGACACTTGTTCCAGGATCGAGAAAAAATTCAGAAAATGGAGCTTCTTTAAACAACTCTTTTAACTCCTGATCAGACATGACCTCCAGTGCATCTATGCTACTGTGATAAAGGGCTTGTGTACACCTGAAAAACACATTTTAAGAGCTACATCATATAAATGTTTATTCAAATACATGTTCTAATACCCATTAACCAATTATAGAGTGTCCAAGTTCTAGACTAAAAGTTTTTTTTTGAGATGGAGTCTCGCTCTGTTGCCCCGGCTGGATTGCAATGGCATGATCTCGGCTCACAGCAACCTCTGCCTCCCGGGTTCAGGCGATTCTCCTGCCTCAGCCTCCTGAGTAGCTGGGATTACAGACGTGTGCCACCACGCCCAGCTAAGTTTTGTATTTTTAGTAGAGATGGGGGTTTCACCATGTTGGTCAGGCTGGTCTCGAACTCCTGACCTCGTGATCAGCCCACCTTGGCCTCCCAAAGTGCTGGGATTACAGGCGTGAGCCACCGCGCCCGGCATAGACTAAAAGTTTTTTAAACATCTATCTGGTATAATTCATAAACTTAATTCAAGATAATCCTTCTTTCCAATAAACAGGGGCTATTTTAAATTGCTAAGTCAAATACTGACAGTCCTTGTGATAAATGACAAGATAATCCTAAAACATACTCCTACTTTTCTCATGTCTATCCACTGAATAACTAACTATCAAGTGTTAATCATACTAAACTACTACCTTTTAGCAGAATCCAATCCTTCTCGTCCATGAACAAGCTTTGTTACTTCTGCTGCCAGTCGTTTCTGAGGACCCCGCCTTTCTGGCTCTTTGACATGCAGCTGCATGATATGATCAATCTCTGGAAGGGGCAGGAAAGTGAACAGCTTCAGGTACCTTTGAGACAAAAAATAAAGAGTTACACTTATATAACATACCTAATTTTTATCTCCAGCTCTTCTACCCTTTAAGGTTATCCTGCTTACTTTTAAATATGAAACAAACATACAGAAATGTACTGAACATAGTAGGTCCCATGCACACATCACCCAGATTTAAGGTGTTACTATTTTGGCATCTTTGTTTTCAATTTCTTTTTTTTTTTTTTGAGATGGGGGTCTTGCTGTTGCCCAGGCTGGAGTGCAGTGGCATGATCATGGCTCACTGTAACCTCAACCTCCTGGGCTCAAGCAATTCTACCACCTCTGCCTCCCAAGCAGCCGGGACCACAGGCTTGTGCCACCACGCCTGGCTAATTTTTATATTTTTTTTGTAAAGACGGGGTCTCCTGTGTTGCCCAGGCTGGTCTCAAACTCCTGGGCTCAAGTGATCCTCTTGTCTCAGCCTCCCAAAGTGTTGGGATTATGGGCAGGAGCCACCAAGCCCAGCCTCGTATTTTCTTTTTAAAAGGAACAAAATAGGCATAGATGAAGGCCGCAGTCCAATCACATTCCCTTCCTTGCCCCGAGATAATCATAAATCTAAGTTTATGTGCTGCCATCTTTCCCAAGCATGTTTTTATACTTTCATGTGCATGTGGCCATAAAAAAAAAGTACTGTGTAATTTTAAAAACTGATATAAATCATCATGCTCTGCATAATGATGTTTCTGTCAATGATGGACTACATATATCCGCGGTCCCCAACCTTTTTGGCACCACGAGGCGGCGGGGAGGGGAGGTGGTTTCAGAATGAAACTGTTCCACTTCAGATCATCAGGCATTTGTTGGATCCTCAAAAGGAATGCGCAACCTAGATCTCTTGCATGCGCAGTTCACAATAGGGTTTGTGCTCCTATGAGAATCTAATGCAACCGTGGATCTGACAGGAGATGGAGCCCAGGTGTAATGCTCGCTCGCCTGCCACTCAGCTCCTGTTGCGCAGCCCTGTTCCTAACAGGCCACGGACTGGTACAGTCCAACAGTGGTTCATAACATTATAATACCATAGTTTACTGTACTTTTTCTATGTTTACGTATACAAATACTTACCCTCGCGTTATCACTGCCTTCAGTATTTAGTACAGTAATGTGCTGTATGTGCTTCTACCCTGGGAGCAACAGGGTACACTGTATAGCCTAAGTGTGTAGTAGGCTATGCTATCTATGTTTGTGCAGGGACACTCTACGATATTTGCAATGATGAAATCACCTAACAACACACTTCCCAGAATGTATCCCTATTGTTAAGTGATATATGACTATAATATCATCCTATATGTATTCTCTTTTTCTTTGGTGAAATATATATAACACACAGAAAAAAGTACATTATTCACAAAGATATAGCTTAATGAATCATAAAACATCTATGTAACCATCACCATGGTCAAGAAATACAGTATTGGGCCGGGCGCAGTGGCTCACGTCTGTAATCAAATAGTGAGTTTGGCAGAGTTGCTAGATTTAAAGGTAATATATATAAAGTAATTGTATTTCTATACACCAGAACCAGATAGAAAATGCAATTTTTGAAAAGATTATCTAAATTCTCTAGGCCGGGTGCGGTAGCTCAAGCCTGTAATCCCAGCACTTTGGGAGGCTGAGGAAGGTGGATCACTTGAGGTCAGGAGTTCGAGACCAGCCTGGCCAACATGGCGAAACCCTGCCTCTACAAAAATACAAAAATTAGCTGGGCATGGTGGCGCATGCCTGTAGTCCTAGCTACTCAGGAGAATCACTTGAACCCAGGAGGCGGAGGTTGCAATGAGCCAAGATCATGCCACTACACTCTAGCCTGGGCAACAAAGTGAGACACTGCCTCAAAAAAAAAAAAAAAAAAAAAAAAAGATTATCAATTCTCAATACATCAAAACCCCAGGACTATATCGTCAAACATTCTAGGACTAAATCTAAAGAGAAAAAAACACAATTACCAAAATTTTGTAATAAGGCATGATAATCTTCCACTCTGTTCTTCAAAAACATCTTGGCCAATCTTAGCCCTTTTTATTTCTATGTCAGTGTTACAATGAGCTTGTCAAGTTCCACAAAAAGCCGGTTTAGATATGGTTGGCACTGTACTAAATGTAGATCAAATCCAGAACTGGTATCTTGGCCGGGTGCGGGGGCTCATGCTGTAATCCCAGCACTTTGGGAGTCTGAGGCAGGTTTATCGCTTGAGTCCAGGAGTCTGAGACCAGCCTGGGGAACAAGGTGAAACTCCACCATTACTAAAAAAAAAATACAAAATTAGCTGGGCATGGTGGTGTGCACCTGAGCCTGGGAATTTCAGGCTACAGTGAGCCAAGACTGCGTCACTACACTCTAGCCTGGGCAATGGGAGTGAGATTCTGTTTCAAAAAATACAAAAAAGAACTGATATTATTTTTGTACTATGAATATGGTCTAACTCTCCATTTATGTAGGTCTTTATTTTGCTCAATAGCATCTTTTAATATTTTGCAGGAAAGTCATATACCTTTTAAGTCTTAAAGAATTATTCCTAGATTACTTTGATGTTACAGAGCATCAAAATATTTTTTTCACTTTTTGTTGCAGGTATATTTGTTTCTCATTAATTCATATTCTTCCAAGAGTTTAAGGCAATTTGATTTAAGGAGAAATCATTTCTTAAGAGGATCTTTAAAGTCATATTTGTGAGAGAAGAGAGACAAAGGAAAAATAAGGGTAGTCAAGGTTAAGTTGAAAGGAGTGAAAAAACTAGAATATGCAGGTGATAAAATCCTAAGAACTTGCTAGATACAGATCAAAAAGTTGGCTCTACATTTTCTAGCCACCCACTGTTTTTCTGCTTTAACCAACAAAGTGTTTAACTTTAGAACACAGTAAAAATTAGTCTTCTATGATGTAATGGTTTATGTACAGACAGAAACTACGTTAAAAACAAAAAAACTATAAAATGTACATAGATTCAATGGCTAAAATTACATCATGAGTTTATGGTGTCAGTTTTTCTCAGCCCATTATTCAGAACTCACCTTTCCACTGAATCGTCCGGTTGCCTGACAAAGAATTGATACAATTCAAATGGAGATGTCTTATCTCTGTTTAGCCAAACAGCGTTGCCAGCAGACTTTCCCAGCTTTGCTCCAGTTGTACTTGTAATTAGAGGAACGGTGATTCCAAATACATCTTCTCCAGTCAACCTACGCATAAAGAACAATTTCATTATGTGCCTCAAGCACAAGTGGTGGTAGGTTCTACTGTTCACCTTCCAGATTTCTTTCTGGTTACTTGCTCCAGGAAAACTTCCTTGACCTCCTAAATCTGAATTCTTGTTCCTCTTATGTATTGTTACAGTACTTACTCTATTCATTCTGAACCTCATGAGTGGTTCCAGGCAGGTTCTAGGCAGGCCAAGGGGAAGTGCTACATAACAATGGACTAGAGATTTTGAAAGGCTGAGTGGGAAGGAGAAAACTGGGTGAAGGGGTGTCAGGAAGAGACACTAAAGGAAATCTTCTAAACGCCTTTTAAACATGTGCTTTGCTCTGTTGCACATGAGCTAGCCCTATCCTTCACCTCTCTCAAGAAAATGCTATTAGACCCGCATTACTTGTCAATTATTTGGAGTTGAAAAAACTTTTTGAGATACCAACCAAGGACTAACACTAGTTTCATGGAGGGTGCAGAGCTAAAGCAGAGGCTAGCTACTCAAGGAGGCCCAGTCACGTTCTGGTATAAACACACAAAAGCAGTTTCTCTAATTAGAGAGGACGACTTAGGCGAAGCAAAACAGACCGACCAAATCTTCACTAGTGGTCTGTTTCCCTTTTTTTTTTTTTTTTTTTTGAGACGGAGTCTCCCTCTGTTGCCCCAGGCTGGAGTGCAGTGGCGCGATCTCGGCTCACTGAAACCTTCGCCTCCCGGGTTCAAGAGATTCTCCTGCCTCAGCCTCCCGAATAGCTGGGATTACAGGCGTGCATCACCACGCCCAGCTAATTTTTAGAATACACCGTTTACTCTTAATACCCTTAATTCAGCCCTTTAATTCTTATTAGCCAGTGTTATTAACGCCATTATAGAGCCTTAATGGGGATAAAACCAACAAGAGCTGGAACGAAGGGCAGCAACTACAATCCTAAGAGTGAATCACAGGCTACTAGTGTGTAAATTATTTGGTCCCAGGATTTCCCCAAGGTTTAAAGGCACTTACTTGTTGATGAACTCATATCCGGACATGATGTTGCCTAGTTGATCAGATCCGCCCAGCTGGACCCTGCATCCATAACGCTGGAAGAGGTAATAGAAGTCATAGGCCTGGAGCACCTGGTAAAAGAACTCGGCCAAGCTCATGCCCTCGGGGCTCTTGAGCCGCAGCTGCACGCTCTGCCGGCTCAGCAGCGTCCCCATGCGGAAGTGACCCCCCACTGCCGCCAGGAAGTCCACCAGGTGCTGCTTCTGGTACCAGGCCGAGTTGTCCAGCACAGTGAAGCTGCCCCAGGAGCGCCCATCAGTGAAAAGCTGCTGGTGATTAGCCGCCAGGGCCTCAAGCCCTAGGCGCAGAGCTCGCGCGTTGGCTCGCACGCGCTCTGTCTCCAGCGCCTCGCGTTCCTTGGTACGGCCGCTCGGGTCTCCCAGGCGCGCCGTGGCGCCTCCCACCAGCGCGATCACGTTGTGGCCCGCTCGCTGCAAATGAAACAGGCCCAGCAGCGCAAGTAGATGACCCACATGAAGCGAGTCTGCCGTGGGGTCGAAGCCACAGTAAATGGTTTGGGGAAAACTCGCCGTGCCACGGTCGAAGAGCTCTGGGAGCTCTATTTTCGTCCCCGTCTCCGGGAAGAAGTCCTTGAACAGACCTCGAGCCTTCTGCGCTGCCAGTAACCCCTGAGCGCCCGAGTGGGCCTTACGCAGCCCCAAGGGCAACAATACTGAGAGATTTAGGGTACCAGACCACCGGCCCCAGGAAAAGGACCGCAAGATGGGCGCCGCCATCTTGGTAGCGGCACGAAGGGAATGCTGGGATTGCAGAGGCTCCCACCACACCCACCTACTTACAGCTCCTAGGGAAGGTGCTTCAGTGTTTTTCTGCGCATGCCCGAGACGGTTACGTAGTTACGGAGCTTGCGCTCTCAGCAGTTGAGTCCCGACTCCAAGTGGCGATTCCGCCTCAGAGCCGTCGCCTTACGTTCCCTTAAACTTAATTTTTCCATCAGCAGTGTGGATCTGCTTATGATAGTTCCTACCTCATAAGGCTGTTGTGAGCCTTAAAAATTAAAGCATTTGGCACATAACGCTTCACAAATGCTAACTTGTATTTACATTTTCACGTAAAAAGATTGTGATGCGCAAGTTCTTTGAAGTCTTGGTTCCATGCAAAAAGCTGTTCACAGAGGTTGAGAAAGGTTAGGAATTGGTTTAAGTTCGCGGAGAGATAGGGAGTTGCTGCTGAGACGCAAGCAATTTCATAGTACCGATTCCCTAATTGCACCTCGTCCCCAGTATTCATCGGCTCTTCCAGGAGGTGGCAGTCTTGTCCAAGGTATAGCAAGAAAAACTCAGTGCAATAAAGTACATGCATCAAGTCCTGTGGTTTATTTATTTTAAATACAGTTAACTAGGTTGGGACACAGCTTAGCATGAGTGGATTCAAGTTAGTAATCACATCGTGCAGCGTGACAGGTGCTCTGAATACTGACCAGGGATGAGGTTCTTATTGGCAGCTGGCTGGCAGGTGATCTAGCTTCAAAATCCCATGTTAGAGCCTGATTTCTAGGACCGCTTTCAAAATCGTCTTAGGTAGAATTCCCTGGACTCTGAGTTGGGGGGGAGACTGGTTTGCAGGAGGGTAATTGGAGTGTGCTCTTAAGAACAACACCTATAATGGAGTGAGGGAGGCCGGGTTGGGCGGAGGGAGAAAGAAGTTGAACTGTGAACAATTTGTAATAGAGGCCTCAGGCAATCCAGTAAGGGCTCTGGAGCCGGGATTTCCTTTCAGAGTCATCCTGAATTGAGGCCAGGGGGCAGACCTTTAGACCCTCTTACTGACTGCTCATTAAATGTGGGATGTTTCTGGGGAGGAAGCAAAACGCTGGGTTAAGGCTTTTGGAGAGTGAGATGTGCAGGAAGGGACTCAGCTGTGAGCAATAAGCAACCAACACTCCCAGCAGCTGGGGGATTGAGTGCCTTGGTCCTGTGACTGGGATCTGGGCCATGTTCCAAATCATTCCCTACAGGACTTTTCCATTTTTTAACGTTATAAAGTTATCTAACAAAATGAAAACTTATTTTAATAATTAGTTTCTTTGCATGTATAATTATCAGTGAATTAGTTTCTCATTGCCAAATAGTAACTTCAATAGGATTTTGAGATACTCATTCAATAGGCTATTAAACATACTCCCAACTGCTTAAGAAAATAGTGTGTTCAAAATATCTTAAAATTTGCAATCATAACCTGTTGATCTTCAGTGTTTTTTTTTTTTTTAAGTGTCACTCTGTTGTCCACACTGGAGTGCCGTGGCAGGATCATGGTTCACTGCAGCCTTGAACTCCTAGGCTCCAGCGATCTTCCTGCCTCAGCCTCCCAAGTAGCTGGAGCTACAGGTGTGGACTACCATGCCTGGCTAATTTTTATTTTTTGTTTTTGTAGAGACGGGGGTCTCACTGTATTGCCCAGGGTGGTCCTAAACTCCTGGCCTCAAGCAAGCTTCCCACCTCTGCCTCCCAAAGTGTTGGGATTACAGGCATGAGCTACTTCGCAAGGCCAATCTGCAGTCATATGGTCCACCACTTTGATCAGGGACAGATTTCAGTAGGTATGGCAGGAAATTCTCCTGAGCACACGTAAGGAAACTCACATCTGGGCCACTTGTCACTTGAAAGCCAAAAACCCAAGAGAAGAGCTGTAGTGAAAGTAAAGTTAGCTTTATTCAAGAGACCAGCAACCCTGGGGGATGCAGTGAGCTAGCGTTCAAAGACCACCTCTGGTTTTTAAGGGCAATTAAGAGAAAGGATGATAAAAAGATTTTTGTGAAACGTGTGCAGTCTCAGGTCGGCAGTAAATCATTGCTTTCTTGGTCAATATTTTGTGGCTTTCTGCAGGTACCATCAGCCTATTCTTATTAGGTCGGTCAGCCCATTCACAGAGAGGCTGATCTAGGTATTTTCTTTTATCTCTGTTCAAGATCCTGTTTTTCTGAGGCTGATTTTAGTGAATGATCTACAAAATCAAGCAAAGTAATAATTGTATTCAAGTAAGCAAGCTTTCTTCTAACATGGAATCAGTACTGTCACACACACAGCAAATGGTGCTTTCTATTTAGTACCTTAATACATAGGGCACACATGTGTTTCTGGTGACACACAACTCTCTGGCTTTTACAGGTGTGTTAGTAATTTGAAAATCCTACTTGTTACAACAGTATGCCAGGGTTACTTGATGTCAGGGTTACTTGATGACCTGTGCTTAATGGAGAAGAATTTTGTGGATAATGAGAAATAGAAAATTTCTACCTGGGATTACAATTTATTATAAAGTCTTTTAAAAATAGATTTGAGCTCTGCTTTGTCTCTTAAGTTTAGTTGCATCTCATGAAGAGGCAGCAAAGTCTGATATAGAAGGTGGTGTCGGGCCGGGTGCGGTGGCTCACGCCTGTAATCCCAGCACTTTGGGAGGCTGAGGTGAGCGGATCACTTGAGGTTGGGAGTTTGAGACCAGCCTGACCAACATGGAGAAACCCCATCTCTAATAAAAATACAAAATTAGCCGGGCATGGTGGCGCATGCCTGTAATCCCAGCTACTTGGGAGGCTGAGGCAGGAGCATTGCTTGCACCCACGAGGTGGAGGTTGCAGTGAGCCGAGATCATGCCATTGCACTCCAGCCTGGGCAACGAAAGCCAAACTCCGTCTCAAAAAAAAAAAAAAAAAAAGAAGGTGGTGTCACAGGAGGTGCTAGATGAGACTTGACAGTAGCTTAATGACAGTAACAAGCAACAAGTTTGGAAAATACAGTGAGATCAATTACTCTCTTTTTATAATTTGTGTTGGTATTATAGGGGAAATTGGGCTTTGTCCCAAAGACAGGAGCAATAAAGAAGATGGGACTTTCAAACCTTTGGAATTATATCCGTGGCTAAAATTTTATGGGATTGCACCCATGGTTTGCATTTGGGTTACAAAAAAGTGACCAAGTTAATTCTTGCTGTTTTTATTGGCTTAAAAAGTGAGTGAACAAGGGTTAAAAAGTATTTTTAAAAATATGATTTATCTCAACTGTAATAACTTGAGGTTAACTGGCCTTGAATTAGAGGCACATGTGTTTTACAGTTACCTTTTCCTGCAACAAAATGCCACATAAATGTTCTCTTTGAAGGGATCCCTGTTTTAAATGGCTTGGTTTTCAAAATGTAAACAAATATAAATATAATAGAATTCAAAAGACACAGAGTAAACAGTAATGGTATTTTAACTGATCTCTACTTAACTTTGAAAATTTCTCTATCTCTAGCATTGTATTAAATATATATTCAGATTACAGCAGAGATCTGATTAGGGCTGAAATATGAGCTGCTCGAACATCACAGCAAAATGACAGCAGAAAGAAGTCTGAGGAATTCTGATCATTATAATCACTATAAAATATAATTCTTATTTGTGTTTTCTGTTTTTTTTTCCTTGGAGAAGATTATTGGTGACATCAGATGCAAAAGGGAGTGGATAGGAACAAGAAATAGAAATTGTAAACCTATAATTGTAAACCTACGTAACCATGCCCGGTTACGGCCGGGCATGGTGGCTCACGCTTGTAATCCCAGCACTTTGGGAGGCTGAGGCGGGCAGATCACCTGAGGTCAGGAGTTTGAGACCAGCCTGACAAACATGGTGAAACTCCCGTCTCAACCAAAAATACAAAAATTAGCCAGACGTGGTGGCGGGCGTCTGTAATCCCAGCTACTCAGGAGGCTGAGGCAGGAGAATCACTTAAACCTGGGAGGCGGAGGTTGCAGTGAGCCGACATAGCACCACTGCACTCCAGCCTGGGCAACAGAGTGAGACAACATCTCAAAAAAAAAAAAAAGAAAGAAAAGAAAAAGAAATTGTAGGTTATTGCAGAAAGGCCATGGCTTTTCTTCCAGTTGAAGTATTTCCATGGCTTTTCTTCCAGTTGAAGTATTTCCATGACATTCCTATCTCCTATTACTTGGGAAGAATCATTTCTAAAGATTGATTTCATGTCTTTGTTGTCTTTGTATAATAATTTATAACTCAATCTGCCTCATAATTACATCTTCTCACACATGACTTTCATGTTGCTGTTTTTCTTGAAACCTACATCTAAAGTCCTAAAGATCCTCCCACTCTGCCCATCCTTACCTGCAAGGCAGTTGCTCCCCTTTCATTCCAAACTAATTTCTTTCAGGAAGCTCCTCTGCATTAGGTAGGGCGAAGGAAGGATGCTTTTACTGTCCAGGTTCATCATGCCCCTAAAATGTATTAAAATGTAAAATCAATAATGCTTACCCTTCCCACACAAAAAAATGGAAAGACCATTAAGTTCTATTAAAATTTATAGAAATTTATGTGAGCTAAGTGTCTTGAAACCTAGTCTGTGTCCCTTGATTGAAGTGGCTTTAATGCTTTTTGAGCTGATGGTCATATTAACATCCAAAAATTTTTTATAAGAGATTAGCTTATTTTAAGATGCTGATTGTAGGAGGATAATTAGACAAAGAAACATGTTACTAGATATGCATTTCCTTTCTATATTAGAGTTTAGAGAAGGATACCCCAAGTTTCTTTCTTTCTTTCTTTTAGGCTGCTGTTGTAGCCAGTGGAATAACCTGGAGGTCTCAGCATTGCCTTAACTTTATGCACCTGGTCCCATACCATATGGCTGGATAATGTTTTGAGATATTTATGGGTTTAAAAATCTTTCATTTTCCAGGCCGGGTGCGGTGGCTCACGCCTGTAATCCCAGCACTTTGGGAGGCCGAGGTGGGCAGATCACGAGGTCAGGAGTTCGAGACCAGCCTGGCCAACATAGTGAAAACCCGTCTCTTCCAAAAATACAAAAATTAGCCAGGTGTGGTGGCACACGCCTGTAGTCCCATCTACTCAGGAGGCTGAGGCGGGAGAGTCGCTTGAACCCGGAAGGCAGAGGTTGCAGTGAGCTGAGACCACGCCATTGCACTCCAGCCTGGGTGACAGAGTGAGACTCCGTCTCAAAAAAACAAAGAAATAAAAAATCTTTCATTTTCCTCTCTTCATTTTAACTGTCCATTTGTAGCAAGTTCTGTGTGTCAGTGCCTTGGGGAAAGTACAAGTCGGGGAGGAATACAGAGTCATCCTGGAACTCTTTGTAACTTTTGTTTCCAAAAGTCAAAAGCCTAAGATAGGATGAAGTTTAAGGAAATAAGCTTAGAGAAGAGAAAGAGGTAGGATTCTCCAGCTTAAAGAGAGTGCCCCTGCCCCAAACCTGGGCAAGGGAGCCCTGGCTATGGCCCTGGTTTGCCAGAGGAGCTGTGCATTGCTCCCTGGCCTCAAAGGGACGACCTCCTGCTACACTTCCAGCCTGGGGCTCCTGGCTTTGCCTAAGGTTCCTCTGCTTCATTTGAGGCAGGAGAGCCCCTGAGTGCCAGCTGGAGGTCTCAGAGAACCACTGAAGGCTTGGCCAACAAGGATGGCTAGAATGATCAGAACCAATTGGAAATTAGAGATATTATTTCCTGGGGCACGTTGATCAAATTTTGGTAAAACCCTAGAAGCGGGAAGGAGGCTAATAATGATGGAGAAACAATTTCCTACCATTCTAGTGGGTTAAGGACATAGATGTTTGCTTATTCATTTAACAGATATTTATTAGAATTATTTGATCAGTCAGGCACTGTTCTAATGGCTTAGGATATATTCATGGATGAAAGAAAGATTCCTGTCCTCATGGAGATAATATTATTCTATGAAGTTATTTTTCTCTGAGCAGTTTTATTCTTCACTTCCTCTTTCTTCATTTCCTCTTTCTGATTGGGCTCCTTTTCCACGCCCAATTTTTGGAGCAGAGAGAGAGTGACTCCTAGGTAGCTGTTGAAGAACATGCAGATTAGGAGGGGGCTGTGGGAGAGAAACATTTGTTGAGAATATGACCAAGGGAAAGACATCCCTTGTAGGAGGGTGGTGATTGAGGTGTAGAGTAGAATTCAAACAGCTTTTCCCCTTTCAATATGTAATTGTGTCTCCCTTCACTCCTGCTGCAGTGAATTTTTCTCCTCGCAGAACCCTTTCCCCAACATCCACCCCTTCTGCTCTGAGCTTGGTGATAGCCGCCGCAGTCCCCTACCAGCATGTTCTTTCCCAGGCCATGTTGTCGGGACTGTAATTCAGCCATGACTGGCAAGCAACGAATCCGCCTGGCTGTTTGCTAATGTGATGAGAAAAGCAGGCTTC
This sequence comes from Homo sapiens, assembly GCF_000001405.40. Classification (NCBI taxonomy): domain Eukaryota; kingdom Metazoa; phylum Chordata; class Mammalia; order Primates; family Hominidae; genus Homo; species Homo sapiens. The sequence continues at coordinate 32,762,324 of NC_000012.12, forward strand.
CCTCTTAGAAAGAGGATCTTGGAGACACTATTGTGATTGCATCTGAAAAGCTTAGATCAAATGGATAATGTCTTCAGTGAAGATCATTTTGGAATTTTCCTATTTATCAAGTTACCTTAGTAATTTTCTGGTCTCTCTGACAGAGTAGAAGTGAATCAATCAACTCATCATTGTCCCTCCATCAAGGCCAAGTGAATTTATATCTCCATTGGAGAAGAAACAAAACAATAAGCAATCATTCTATGTTTTGTAGAGCAATTCTATTTTGATTAAAACTATTTTTGTCTTTTTTTCTCAGTGTCTTCAATACGGACTTTATGTTTTTCTGTTATAAGCACTGACTGGTTAGTTACCAAAATGAGAAATAAGTCTGGAAACATCTCACTCATTAATGTTCTGTAACATCATAAGGGGAACAAATACCTTGTATTTACATAATGTTTGCAGAAAAGTCAAATATTACTTCCTTCATCCTCACAACCATAACAAAATGTGCTTCTGAGTCGTGGTCCAAAGACCATGGGACTAGGAGTCACAGACATGAGTAGCTATCTCAGCTTAACCTTGACTACCTGTTCCTCCTTAGATAAGTCATTTAACACACTAGCCTTGGTGTCCTCATTTTAGAAGTAAATGGGCTGGGCTTGGCGCGGTGGCTCATGCCTGTAATCCCAGCATTTTGGGAGGCCGAGGCAGGCAAATCACGACGTGGTCAGGAGATCGAGACCATCCTGGCTAACACGGTGAAACCCTGTCTCTACTAACAATACAAAAAATTAGCCAGGCATGGTGGCCGGCACCTGTAGTCCCAGCTACTTGGGAGGCTGAGGCAGGAGAATCACTTGAACCTGGGAGGCAGAGATTGCAGCAAGCTGAGATCTCGCCACTGCACTCCAGCCTGAGCGACAGAGCAAGACTCCATTTCAGAAAAAAAAGAAAAGAAAAGAAAAAAAAAAGTAAATGGGCTGGATTAGATGAATTCTAAAATCTCATTCACCTCTACAATTCTGAAATGCCTGTTTGCTATCACAGTAGTCAAAAGTCCCATTTATTGTTTCTCAGCTTTAACTTCATTATTTAAGCCACCACACCAGGGAGGAGGTTAAAAATGTATTCATCGGCCAGGCACAGTGGCCCATGCCTGCAATCCCAGCACTTTGGGAGGCCAAGATGGCGGATCACTTGAGGTCAGGAGTTTGAGACCAGCCTGGCCAACATGGTGAAACCCTATCTCTACTAAAATACAAAAAATAATTAGCCGGGCATGGTGATGGGCGCCCATAATCTCAGCTACTTGAGAGGCTGAGGCAGGAGAATCCCTTGAACCTGGGAGGTGGACGTTGCAGTGAGCAGAGATCATGCCTCTGCACTCCAGCCTGGGTGACAAAGTGAGACTCCCTCTCAAAGAAAAAAACAAACAAACAAAAAAAAGCCTGGGCGCAGTGGCTCACGCCTGTAATCCCAGCACTTTGGGAGGCTGAGGCAGGCAGATCACTTGAGGTTGGGAGTTCGAGACCGCCTGACCAACATGGTGAAACCCCATCTCTACCAAAAAATACAAAAAATTAGCTGGGCATGGTGGCACACACCTGTAGTCCCAGCTACTTGGGAGGCTGAGGCAGGAGAATTGCTTGAACCCAGGAGGCGGAGGTTGCAGTGAGCCGACATCATGCCACTGCACTCCAGCCTGGTGACGGAACAAGACTCTATTACAAAATAAATAAATAAATACATCTATTTTCTCCTCTACTGAGGTTTGCTTAAGCAGTAGAAGCCAGTTTAAGTCATGCTTACATGGCTGTTATTAGAGGGAAACTGTATTATGACAAGTTTTGAAAAATTAAGATTGAAGATTTAGAAAGTGATAGTTGACCAATGAAACATATATCATATTTGCAGAAAGATCCAGTGAAAATCCAAGCAGCTTTGCTCAGATCCAAACAGTTTCAATTGCCATTGATCTCATTCAAAGCTGCCCGTGGGTGGGAGACCGACCTGGAAGGGTGTCACTAACAGAGATAGCAAATGAAAACAACTCCTCTGTATTCTCATAGCTATTTTTTTCTAAAACCAAAGGAAATCTTAGACACCCATGCCCCTTCCCATTGTATGTCTCACGTAACTCTTCTCCAAGCACAGTTTAAGGAGGTTCAGGGGAGTGGCAATCAGGGACACAATGGTGTCAGATGGTGACCAAATATCTAGCACATAGCACCAACTGAGACACCTTTCCAATGGACTTGTAACATGATGTCACACTATATATTTGAGAAAGCTTCCAGTAAATAGGTGAATGTAGCCCTGGTTTATATGCCTCTTGTCTCAGCCTAATTATTTATATGACCCCTTTTATTCTCGAAAATGTCCTGTTTTGGGAATAAATTTTACAGACATTCTATCTAACATTTCTACTCTGGAAAACAAGTTAATTTTAAAAATGGGTATTTTTGAAACAGGGTCTTGCAATGTCCAGCCTGGAGGGCTGTGGCATGATCACGGCTCACTGCAGCCTCGACCTCCCAGGCTCAAGTGCTCCTCCCACTTCGGCCTGCTGAGTAGCTGAGAGCACAGGCATGTGCCACCATGCCTGGCTAATTTTTTTTTAAATTTATTTTTTGTAGAGACAGGGTCTCACTACATTACCCAGGCTGTTCTCAAACTCCTGACCTTAAATAATCTTCCCTCCTTGGCCTCCCAAAGTGCTGGGATTACAGGCACTGTGAGTGAGCCACTGTGCCTGGCCTAAAAAAAATTTTGAGTTAAAGATTTTTAATGTTTTGTGTAAGATTCTTTTTTACGAATTTTACTTTATTTTAGATTCAAGGAGTACATGTGCATGTTTGTTACATGGGCATATTGTGTAATCGTGGGGATTGGGCTTCTAGTGTGCCTGTTACCCAAATAGTGAGCACTGTACCTGATAGGTAATTTTTCAACCATTGCCCGCTCCCATCCTTCCCGCTTTTGGCATCCCCAGTGTCCATTATTTCCCTCTTTATGTCCATGTGTACTCCTTATTTAGCTCCCATTTATAAGTGGAAACATGCAGTAATTTTATGTTTCTGAGTTAGTTTACTTAGGATAATGTTCCCCAGCTCCATCCATGTTGCTGCAAAGGACATGATTTCATTATTTCTTATGGCTGCATATTATTCCATGGTGCATATACACCACATTTTAAAAATCTAGTCAAGCATTGATGGACACTTAGGTTGGTTCCATGACTTGGCTATTGTGAATAATGCTGAGTCTTTCTTATGGAATGATTTCTTTTCCTTTGGGTAGATACTCAGTAAGGGGATTGCTAGGTCAAATGGTAGTTCTTTTTTTAGTTCTTTGAGAAATCTCCATGCTGTTTTCTATAGAGATTGAACTAATTTACATTCCCTCTAAAAGTGTATAAGCATTCCCTTTTCTTTTCTTTTTTCTTTTTTTTTTTTAAGATGGAGGTTCACTCTTGTTGCCCAGGCTGGAGTGCAATGGCACAATCTCAGCTCACTGCAACCTCTGCCTTCTGGGTTCAAGTGGTTCTCCTGCCTCAGCCTCCCAAGTAGCTGGGATTACAGGCATGTGCCACCACGCCCGGCTAATTTTGTATTTTTAGTAGAGACAGGGTTTCACTATGCTGGTCAGGCTGGTCTCGAACTCCTGACCTCAAGTGATCCACTTGCCTTAACCTCCCAAAGTGTTGGGATTACAGGTATGAGCCATCATGCCCAGCCAAGCGTTCCCTTTTCTTCACATGCACGCTAACATCTGTTGTTTTTTGACTTTTAATAACAGCCATTTTGACTAGTGTAAGATGATATCTCACTGTGGTTTTAATTTGGCTGCCTGCATTTGTCTGATGATTAGTGATGTTGAACATTTTTTTCATGTGTTTGTTGGCTGCCTGTATTTCTTCTTTTGAGAAATGTCTGTGTCCTTTGCCCAGTTTTTAATGTTTATTTTTTTTTTTTAGTTTAGTTTTTTTTTCTTGTTGAATTGTTCCTTGTAGATAGATTCTGGATATTAGTCAGCAGCATAATTTGTAAATATTTTCTCCCATTCTACACATTGTCTATTTACTCTGTTGATTATTTCTTTTGCTGTGTGAAGCCTTTTAGTTTAATGAAGTTCCATTTGTCTATTTTTGTTTTTGTTGCATTTGCTGTTGGGGTTTTCACCATAAATTTTTTGCCTAGGCCAATGTCCAGAAGATTTTTTCCTAGGTAAATGAATAAGCAAATCACACATACACACAAATCCCAATGGCCAATATAATACAGAAAATATTCAGGCTCATAAGTATTCAAAGAATTGTGGTTTAAAGGCACATTTTCCTCATGTAAAATGTTTTGGTGTTTGAAGTGACACCAAAGTTTGGTAACGACAACTAATAATAGCAACAAACACTAGTGAATTCTATGTGTGCTAAGCATTGCATTAAATGCTTTACATGCATTATTTTACTGAATTCTTACAAAAATTCAGAAAGCAATTATTTTTATCTAGCTCACAGATGAAGAGACTTACTAATAGTTGAATCCAGATATTTCTGACAGCAAAGGACATCATCTTGGCCACTCTGCACAAGATCTTTATGTAGTTTTTCATTCAAGAGGTATTTATTATGTTTTGGACCTATATTAGGCTCTGCGAATTTCACTGATAAGAAGACATATGACTCTTGTCCTTGTAGAGCTTATAGCTTAGCAAGATCTTACAGATGGTACTGGTATTGCTGCTCAGGTTTGCTGTGAGATGAGCACATCAGGCTGTCTTAGTCTGATACTATTCATGCTAGTTAGATTGGATTGACATTTATTCCTAACTCCTTCTATGTGCTTTTCTGTGCTGCAGGTCCTAGAAAGCTGAAAGCTCCATTTCCTAGATCCCCTTGCAGGTAGGGTTCTAAACATGAATGGGTTCCTTGAATTAGATATACTCTTGAGAAATTGGTGAGGCGGAGGTCATCCTTCTGACATTGTTTCTCCTGGGAAGCAAGTCGTGGGAATGTATCAGGAAGTGAAAGAGGTAACTCAGTGTTCTTGCATCTAGTGTCCAGCTTCATGGGTTTTGAGAGGCAGTTATGGAAGTAGGAGAAGCAGCTACCACTTCCTATCCCAGCTTTATGATCTCCTAGTCACTGGGACACGGTAGGTCCAGTGGCAGCCCCTTGACTCCTGCTCCTTTGGTCCTTCCCATAATCATGATTCCTTCTTTTTTTTTTTTTTTTTTTTTTTTTTTTTTTTTTTGAGACGGAGTCTCGCTCTGTCGCCCAGGCTGGAGTGCAGTGGCGGGATCTCGGCTCACTGCAAGCTCCGCCTCCCGGGTTCACGCCATTCTCCTGCCTCAGCCTCCCAAGTAGCTGGGACTACAGGCGCCCACTACCACGCCCGGCTAATTTTTTGTATTTTTAGTAGAGACGGGGTTTCACCGTTTTAGCCGGGATGGTCTCGATCTCCTGACCTCGTGATCCGCCCGCCTCGGCCTCCCAAAGTGCTGGGACTACACATGATTCCTTCTTGATTGCTCCTTAAATACCTGGGGTTGTTTCTTCCTGTGCTGAATCTTGACTGATCTACCAATTCTCATTTGATTCATTTCACTCTCCTGGTTCTGATTCCATGTTCCCCAAATAGCCATCTGATTATGATTTGAAAGGCAATATTGTGTAACGGATAAGTATATAAGCTTTGGAATCAGATTTGGGATCAGATCCTCTACAATGATCATGGGCAAGTCAACTATGAATAGTGATTCTAATGCACTTTACAGGGTTGTCATGAAGATTAAATGCCACCTTATATAATAAGTACCTGGTACACAATGAAATTGATAAATCGCAGTTGTGTTATTCCTATTGTTATTACTAATGTGTGTCTGACTTTAACACGCTCTTTAGAGTTAAAGCAGAGGGCAGATCCCTACGACTTAATTAAAGACATCACCGCTACTATGTATTCATAAGATAACTTATTGTAATTAAAAATCATCTAAATTTTAGAACACCTTTTTCACAACACATATAATGACACTTACATGTATGACAAACACATGAACTAAGGGTATAACCCATGGTTTTATCTTCCATTCCAGAAAGCATGTGCCTTAGTCCCTTTCTGTTGGTTATAACAGAACACCTGAAACTCAGTAATTTATAAAGAAAAGAAGTTTATTTCTTACACTTGCAGAGACTGAGATGTGTAAGGGCAAGAGGCCACATATAGTGAAGGTCTTCTTGTTGGTGGGGACTCTCTACAGAGTCCCGAGGCAGCACAGGGCATTGCGTGGCCAGGGTACTGAGTATGCTAACGTGCTAGCTCAGATCGTTCTTCCTCTGCTTATAAAGCCACCAGTTCCCTTCCCAGGATAACCCATTAATCTATGACTAATCCATTCATGAAGGCTGAGCCCTCATGATCCAATCACCTGTTAAAGGCCACACCTCCACACCTGTTAAAGGCCACACCTCTCAATACTGCAACATTGGGGGTTAAATTGCACCATGAGTTTTGGAGGTGATGTTCAATCCATAGCAGCATGTTAGAATTCACATGAGTAAGAATGAAATTGTTATTGCAATATATTCAGGTATGTATATGTATTTATGTATGTTTTGTTATTTATGCTGTTATTTGTTAAAGCAAACGATTCACACATTTTATATATGACCATTTTACAGGTGCCTCGACCAATGAGAACATTTCCTCAACATTCCTGATTGCTGCTGTCTGTTTTTTATGTTATTACAACTGTTGTTCACTGATTGGCTTCCCTTTACAGATGCTGCAGACTGGAAAGCTCAGATGATGAGCTAACCTTATTTTATTCTCTTCTCGCTGTGATCAAAGTCCTGAAAAGCCTGTTATTGAATGTCTAAAAACAGTTGTTTCATGTATCTTATTTTTTCAGTTGTTTATAGTGGAAAGACAAGTCTAGTAAACCAGTTACTCCATCCTGGTGGAAGTAAATATGTCTCCATAAATATTTTTGGTCGAATGAATGATAAAATGCCAAAGAACCCTTAGAACTTTATCCCTGTTTTCTGCCAAACTTCATTTGTGGTCTTTTAGAGATTAAAGATACTTTTCCTTTAGGGCTAAAATTTCAATTATAGCTCCTGTCCCTTTGATCTTTTCTCTGCAGTGCCTAAATCCCAAATCGCCACCAGGGTGGTATTCAGCTGCTTAGTGTAGAAAAAAAGCTACTGTTACATGGATTTTTTTTTAGGACATAAATATGTATAGTTTACTAAATTACAATAAAACCAGAGAATTTTATCTGGCTTAGAGTCTGTCCCGAGCTTCCTAAAATGTCTAGTGTCTTATTCTCTTACAGTCCTCTTCCTTCATTCCACTAATCCTGGACACCAAAGAAACAAATGTCTTCCCATCTGTTTTCTCTAATTCTCAGCCTGGAGCACTGGTCCAGTGACCTCCAAACCTTTTTTCATCATGTACCCTTATCAATAAAGAAAGTTTGAAAAGCCAATATTTCAATGTACACATGTATTAAACATATCCTACTGAAAGAATATGTATTATGTACATAATAAAACATCCACAAAGTGAACCGAAAATATAAAATTAAAAATTCTAATTTTTCCATCTTGTATCCCAGTGGATAAATTTGCACCCTCTAAGGGATGCTCACACCCCATTTTAAGATGAATGCCTTGCAATGCAGAACAAAGTGCAAATGAGCCAACCCCCTGCAGTGCTAAATCTCCCTTGGCTCCCCTCTTGGTAATATTTTAAAACTAGACTTTAATGGTTTTTTTAGTTTCTTAATGTCCACACATAATCCTTCTTACTTCAGATCCCAGCTAACTTAATCCTTGATTTTTCTTGTTCTCTTTGGATTTCCATCATATTTCTTTCCTTTTGCTCTCCCTTATTTGTGGTCTTGTTTTCTCCCGGGCAATCTATTTCCCATGATAGTTTAACATGTAAGAACAGATGCATTCATGCTGACTTTACAAGATAGTGTTCTTGGCAATATTGAAATGATACACAAAAAAACAAGGAGGGAGTGATTTCTTTCAGAGTCCACTTGGATTCTGCCCAAGATGGAAAGGACCTGGAAGCTATTCAAATTAAGTTGCTAATTGGGTGGAAAACTGGAAAGTAAATTGGGACTTCCCACATGCAAAAATACATAAAAGAGATGTGAATAGAAATAAAACCTGTACTACTTTTCATTATAAAAATGACTCTTTAATACATAGTAAGAGCTGTGATTTTAGCCATTTGACCATCAGATCCTGGGATTAATATCAAAAGCCTATGAGACAAATATGAGGCATTTAAAGACAGGTCCAGTTTTCTTTCAGAAGACAACCACTGTTACCAGCTTCTTTTGCATCTTTTGAAATATATCATACATAAGACTAATAATAACATCCCACATAGACACTTCTGCATCTTTCTCTTTTCCATTTAACATATCTTGGCAAAGTTTCCAACCAGTACAGGAAGAACACCTGCATTCTTTTTAATAATCTCATAAAAAGCTGTAACTTTATTTATTTAACCAATACTATTGATAATCAATAGCACTAGTCTTTAGCTGTTACAAACAATGCTGTTTGAATACTCCTGCGTACGCCAGTGTGCATAGGTACTAATGCACCTGTAGTATTAATTCCTAAAAATTCCACTGCTGATCAAAGCATATGTGATTTTTTTACTTTTAATAGGTAATAGCAATTATTGCCAGCAATAAATGAGACTGAGCAATGTGTCCTTTACAATGCCAGGCATAATGCTTTATTGGTAGAGAGAGCTCACATATTCATATATTGACCCAATTAACTGTTGTAACAGTCAAATATAGGAAGAAAGGTGAAAGATATGGTTAGTATGTAATCTTTAACACAAAACATGACGATTATTCTCAATAATAAATTCAAAAGCAACTCATGTTAGATAAATGAGTTTCTGGGTTTATCACTTCCTTGTCCTAAGTTGGGCACAGAGAGATAACCCAGAGGTAAGCCCTGCTTCTAAACTCCACCCTAAGCCTATAAACTCCGCATCATACATCTGCAGTGGCTCTGACTTCAAAAAACGTTTGCTTTAAGAAACAAGGGTGGGTGGGCATGGTGGCTCATATCTGTAATCTCAACCCTTTGGGAGGCCAAGGCGGGAGGATCATTTGAGGTCCAGAGTTCAAGACCAGCCTGGCCAATATGGTGAAACCCTGTCTCTACTAAAAATACAAAAAATTAGCTGGGTGTGGTGGTACGGCCTGTGATCCCAGCTACTCAGGACGCTGAGGCACGAGAATTGCCTGAACCTAGGAGGCTGAGGTTGCAGTGAGCCAAGATCACACCACTGCACTCCAGCCTGGGTGACAGAGTGAGGCTCCATCTGAAAAAAAAAAAAAAAAAAAAAAAAAAAAAAGCCTAAAGAAAGAAGGGTAATTTTTTTGTTTTTTACTTTTTTTCATTTTGGGAGGTCGAGGCGGGCTGATCACTTGAGCCAAGGAGTTTGAGACCAGCCTAGAGAACATGGCAAGACTCCATTTCTATTAGGGGGGCGTGCTGGCATTGGTGGCTTATGCCTGTGTTCTCAGCTACTCTTGAGTCTGGGGTGGGAGGACTGCTTGAGCCCAGGAGGTTGAGGCTGCAGTGAACTATGGTTGTGTCACTGCACTCAAGCCTGGGTGATAGAGCAAGACCCTGTTAGAAAAAGGAAGGAAGGAAGGAAGAAGGAAGGAAGGAAGGAGAGAGGAAGGGACGGAAGGAGGGAGGGAGGGAGGGGAAAGGGAAAGAGAAAGGAAAGAAACAGGAAGGAAAGGAAAGAAAGGAAGAAAGAAAGAGAGGGAGATAAAGGAATCAAGAGTAGTAATGTTATATTTTATAAACCAAAAAGCAAGAATAAATTATTTTCACAGAACTGTTTGTTCTTATGAGGAACAAAACTTGCTTTTTCAGCCTTGGAAGCCTGAGGCACGAGAATCGCTTGAACCCAGCAGGTAAAGTTTGCAGAAAACAAAACAAAACAAAACACCATCAACAACAAAAAAAACTTGCTTTTTTCTTCCAGGTGTGCTTCTTTGGATAAAAAGATACTATTGTTAATGCCTCAATTGAAGGTAGTCTACTGAGTAGAGGATATTATTCAGCATTATCTCTGGTGGAAAGCATTTAGGGTATAAATGAAATCCTATTGGCAGGAAAAGATGACATCAAGAAGCCTAGAGTTTGAATTGAAAACATATAAAGGCTAAGGAATGGACAGTGGATGCAACTGTTGGTCAAGACCACTGGGGCCTGGAATTGGGATTTGCATAAATATACCCAAAAGCCAGCACACCAATGGGGGAACCATTTGGGGAAGGGCAGAGATCATTATTAATATCATCTCTCTTTATGGTTATATCAGTTCTGTTAGAACTTTGAAGTCTCTGCAGCAGGCCAACTCTTTGCCCTGTAACACGACACAGAGCCTTGCTTTGCTTTGAGAGCTAAACACGCTGCCTCGATGGTATTCATCCACATATCAAATGCAACTTAAAGCAAGAACAGAGGACAACAATGCCCTGTCCTGAGATAATGAGCCAGTTCTGTGTTCCTGCTCTGTGGATACCCTTTTCTTTTAAAGATTCTGTGATGCTAATCCCAATCCAAACAGGTCTACACTCAGTTCTACTCTTGTTTTTCATAGTTGGTATAAGCCTTGAATCCAGCCTTGATCTTGTACTGCCTGATAATGCTTCCCCTCAGTTGAGGTCGTTGCATGCTGACCTCTTAGCCAAGATCTTGTTGCTAGGGGCTTTAATTCTTCACTTTGACCTTCTTACCCAGGGTTTGAATTTTGTGGGGATTCTCAGGTGACTGTTAGCTCAACACTTGCATTTTGATCTCTGCGCTGCTGGTGAAAGTCCTGCTAACCACATGTCTCCTTTCTCTGAGAGCTGGTCCATGCCAACCCTTGAAGCCCTTGTCCTGCTCTGCAGCTTGACTGGCCTGAGAGGGTTCGGATGAGAGTCCCTCTGAATCGGGGGAGCTGTATAGTGCGGGTAAGAAATGGGCTTTGGAGTAAAATAGAGGTGATCTTGAATCTCAGCTCCATTTTTCTCTGGCTGTGACTTTCAGCAAGTTATTTAGCCATTTTGAGTTTCAGCTTCATCATCTAAAATATGATGACAATAATGTCTACTTTATGAGGCTGTCAACAAGAAACATATCATGTGTAACATTTTTGGCAAAGGCGGACACACCTTCTGTCCTTTATTATTTATTGTAGCTCTGTCCTGAAACCACTTTTAACCTGAGCTGCTTTTCTTCTCTAATCAGTGAGGACTGTAGTGGTCTTGATGACTTGTATGTCCTCAAAGAGATGAAGGGGAAGCATTCCTTTTTCTTCTCTTCCCATATGAGAGGTGTGTGGACTCTTCCTCTTCATGATGCTGAGTAAAAAGGTGGACACGTTTTTAAACTCCTGGTTAGGGAATGGCCCAGTCAATCCTCTCAGTAGACAAGAGGGAAGGACTCCTATGGGATGTTCTGGTCTCAGCTCTCCTCCTAACAACGACCTTTAACTTAGGGCCCTGCTGGCTGTGAAAATGCAGACTTTCGGCAGACAGCCCAGCAAAAAGCTCACACACCCATATTTCTTATCATTCGCTTTGGATTTTATAGCAGTGTAAGAGGAAGCAGATTAGAAACTGCTCTTTCATAACGAATATACCTACATTTAAAAGGCAATAAATGTTAGTTAAAGACCAAGAAAACTAGATACAAGGAAATGAGGATATTTTGTGGAAACGGCCATAAGGAAAAGTAGTGAGTGCATTTGCAAGCAGTGTCAAGCAATCACAAAAGGAATTTTCTTGTTCTGCACCCAAGAGAGATTCAAAACTGTTTGTTATTATTCTTTTGCAAAAAGCTTTTAGGTCTGAAGACCATTATTAAGTTTGCCTTCTGCCACTTCTTCTTACTAAGCTTAATAATTCTAGCTTTTTTTTTTTTTTTTTGAGATGGAGTTTTGTTCTTGTCACTCAGGCTGCAGTGCAGTGCCACAATCTTGGCTCACTGTAACCTCTGCCTCCTGGGCTCAAGTGATTCTCCTGCCTCAGCCTCCTGAATAGCTGGGACTACAGGCATGCGCCACCATGCCTAGCTAAGTTTCGTATTTTTATTTTTTCATTTTTTTTAATTTTTGAGACTGAGTCTCGCTCTGTCACCCAGGCTGGAGTGCAGTGGCACGATCTTGGCTCACTGCAAGCTCCGCCTCCCAGGTTCACACCATTCTCCTGCCTCAGCCTCCCGAGTAGCTGTGACTACACGCACCCGCCACCACGCCCGGCTAATTTTTTATATTTTTCATAGAGACGGAGTTTCACCGTGTTAGCCAGGATGGCCTCGATCTTCTGACCTCATGATCCGCCCGCCTTGGCCTCCCAAAGTGCTGGGATTACAGGCGTGAGCCACCGCACCCAGCCTAAGTTTTGTATTTTTAGTAGAGATGGGGTTTCATCATGTTGGCCAGGCTGGTCTTGAACTCCTGACCTCAGGTGATCTGCCTGCCTTGGCCTCCCAAAGTGCTGAGATTACAGGCATGAGCCACTGCACCTGGCCGATCCTAGTTTTTAAAAAGTTTTTAGATGGGCCGGGCATGGTGGCTCACACCTGTAATCCCAGCACTTTGGGAGGCCGAGGTGGGTAGATCACGAGGTCAGGAGATCGAGACCATCTTGGCTAACACGGTGAAACCCCGTCTCTACTAAAATACAAAAAAACTAGCTGGGCGTGGTGGTGGACACCTGTAGTCCCAGCTACTTGGGAGGCTGAGGCAGGGGAATCGCTTGAACCCAGGAGGTGGAGGTTGCAGTGAGCCAAGATCACGCCACTGCACTCCTGCCTGGTGACAGAGCGAGACTCTGTCTAAAAAAAAAAAAATAAAAGTTTTTAGATGGGTTTTCCCAACTGTTTGATTCTATTTTGAGTTCTCTTCAAAAATACCCACATTTTTAAGGAGAATAACCTAGAAGTAATCACAGTTTTCTTGTGGGGTTTAAACCATTGCTGAAGATAGTCACAATTCTCTTGTCTGATGCTTTATCACCTGGAAGACTAGAAACCAGTGTTTCTGAAATACTGAAAACAATATTCAACCTAATCTTTGATCTAGGAATACCCCTATCCAAAAGAAAGCAGTTTAGCAGCTTTGAGAGATGTTGTTGGGCTATCACTAGTACTCGTGTACGTGCCCATGGGAATTTAGAGTTTAGGGAAAGGGAACTGTGAATCAGTGGCAAAACTAAAAGACTGGTCATAAACAATGATAGTTAATTCCCTTTCTTTTATAAATCTAAGGAGGGAATGAAGAGAAGAAACAGAGGAACATATACAGTAACAAAATCACAGGATAATTTAGAGCTGGAAGAAATGTGCTGATCTTCTGGCCAAAATGTTTCATTTAATAGGTGATGACCTGAGACCATGATGCTAGAAACTGGCAGGTATAATGTATTTATGACATAGGTATAATTTTAGTACCAATTTACAGATGATGAAGTTGAGGCAACTCAGATGTTACATGGGAGGGCTGGGATCTGAACCTAGATTTGGTTGGCTTCAAATTCTAAGTTTTTAGCTTCTGCACTGTCTCATATACGTGTATCTATGAGGTCTTTTCTTGCATTGATTTAGCTGTGTTTGTTTATAATGAGTGACTGCATTTACCCCATTGCTTTGCCCATATTCCCTAAAGGATTTAGGTGGTTTTAGTGCAAGAGATATACACATATGTTTAAGAGACTTGGTTTAATGCTTGTGCTCTTCCTCTGTGTAGAATTTTACAATGTGCCATGGCACCCTGGCACAGGAGAAAGGTCCTGGGAGTCAGAGAAAGGCAGAGAAAGGCCAACCTGAGAGTCCTTATCGAAAAAAAAAATGTGGGTAAGACGTGGGGAACAAGGGCCAAAGGATACTTCTAGTAAATTAAGACATTAAAAATAACACTACCCCTGCTTTACGATGGGCAAAAGTACTAGTCACACTTTAAAGTGTGGAAACAATGAGAAATCATATTGGTAAAGGAGGTTAAGTTGAATGGAGCAGCCGACTCAAGGGATGCTACCAGGAAAGAGTAAAGGACTCATTGTTTTCCCAAGGCCTGGCTTGAGGTATTAAACATTCCATACATCTTTAAGTGATAACTAGGCAGGAAGAGAAGGAGGAAAGTAGAAGGCCGTGCACAGTATAGATTGCAGAGGAAATATTTATTTCAAAATACAAGGATTGTGTCTTCATTGATTCGCCTATTCAATGATTAACATTTATGGAGTGCCTATTCTGTGCCCAGCCTTGCTTGAGAAGCTGAGTGTCCACAGATGACCAAGACACCAATACTAACTTCAATCCACTTATTGCTCAGCAGGGGAAACAGACAGTGAACGGTTAAGTAGCTGGACCTTAGAACTTTAAAACAATTTGAACAACCAACTCTGCTTGGGGTATCCGAGACATCACAAAAATTTCTTTTGATTTACATCTTGAGGGATGAAAGGAAGTTTGCCAGGTGAAGAAATGGGGGAAAATATATTTCAGGTGAACAGCTCTGCATGAGCAAAGACATAGAATTATGAAAGGACTTGCATAAAAGTTCTGGAGAAATGTGACAAGTTCATGTGGCTCTAGTTAGCGGACTGAGGGTGGTGGCTAATTTTTGTATTTTTTGTAGAGACGGTGTTTCACCATGTTGGCCAGGCTAGTCTTGAACTCCTGGCCTCCAGGTGATCCACCTGCCTCGGCCTCCTAAAGTGCTAGGATTACAGGTGTTAGCCACCATGCCTGGCCCCTTACTGCCATTTTTAGAGAGGGAAAATTTCGCCAGATAAATTCCCGAGTCAATGGAGTTTCTAGAAATTCTGGGTGGGTAGGTTTCCAGAGTTCACGTCTGAATGAACATTGTTATTCATAAAGATTGAAGGAAGGAGACAAAACGATAGTGAGGGTTTACATTTCGAAACCCAGCAGCCTTCAGATAATTTCTGTACTCTTTTCCACTCTCAGCCAAAATAGAGGCTTTCCACCTCTCTCAAAATTCCCCGTTTGTTGCATAAATTAAGAGTCCCCCTCAGAGCTCATCTTGTTAAGCAGAACTGACCAAAGGGTGGTATCTTCTATTTAACACAGCTGGGAAGGTCCCACCTGATTTTCAAACAAGACTGAAAGATAAATGCTGGTATCACACTCCAGTTGTCCTTTCCCTTTGACTTTTTAATTCCTTGCCTCTAAATATCAGCCCTTAACCAGCAGCCTGGTCATAACAAACTGAGGTTGTATCATTTGCATTGGTAATATTTCTTTAAAAACTAAACTTTAGGCTTGTATATTTTATTTTGTTTTAATTCCATTTAGGAAAGAATGCCTCAAATCCTCATATACATATAAAACTGAAAATTCCATCATGGATTTTTGTATTCTAAAATGTTAAAACATATTTGTTACTGTAAGAGACCGCTGATGAAAAACATCTCAGCAAGAGGTTCTTGACAGTATGCACTTTTGAGAACGTGCTGTGTAGAATGACATCTGTTTTCAGTGATATCTAGCTGGCATTTAGTCAACCCTAAGTATTCTAATATTTTGCAAGTTTATGTCATCACATGTGTATCCTACTGGGGGTCAAGGGCTGAACCTTTATATTTTCACCAGTCTGTGTATATGGGCTTTCTCCAGGAAGAGGACATGCCCTTGGGCTGCGGCTTTGTTTTGTTTTGTTTTTTTGAGATGGAGTCTCGCTCTCTCGCCCAGGCTGGAGTGCAGTGGTGCAATCTCAGCTTGATCCAACCTCCGCCTCCCAGGTTCAAGCAATTCTCCTGCCTCAGACTCCCAAGTAGCTGGGATTACAGGCGCCTGCCACCACACCTGGCTAATTTTGTATTTTTCGTAGAGATGGGGTTTCTCTATGTTGGTCAGGCTGGTCTCGAACTCCCCACCTCAGGTGATCCGTCCACCTTGGCCTCCCAAAGTGCTGGGATTGTAGGCATGAGCCACCACGCCCACCTTGGGCTGTGGCTCTTTTCAGCCAAAAGGTAGTCCCTGAGAGAGACTCAGCTGAGAGCTGGTGCTGCCAACACTCCCAGGAGCTGGGCTGTGTGTTTCAGACCTCTGTTCTAGAGGATCTTTAATGGCACACTATGGAAATGCAGTCAGAGCTTACAAAGTAGCAGATGTATGGGATGAATAAGTCTAGAGAGCTACTGTCCCACATGAAGTCTATAGGGAACTAAACTGTGCTGTATTTGGGATTCCTGCTAAACAAGTAGATTCTAGCTGCTCTTGCCACAAAACAAAAAATTGGGAAACTATGTGAGATGATGGATATGTTAATTTGCTTCACTGTAGTAACCATTTTACTATTTGTATGTATCCCATAACATCAGGTTGTATAACTTAAATATATGTAATTTATTTAGAAGATAAAATTAGTTTTATGCTTTTAAAACATAACATATATCACACTAGAGAACTTGTAATTTATGTGTAAGCAGCAGACCATTTTCAATACCTTGGAAGCCCCCCACAAATCTCCCCAGTAGAGGTAACTGCTGACCTAGGTTTGGTGTTAATTTTTACTGGCAACTCTTTAGAGGTTTTTTATAAAAAATTTTCAATCCTGCTCCTTCTGCACCTTTATAGCTTTCCAAACCTACAAAAGTATGTACTATTAATTTTTGTAGTTTTGTTTTTGAACTTTAAATGGAATCACACTCACTTTATATTTTTGTCTTTTTTTGCTTAACATACTCCAATTTAGACTTATTTTCATTGATGCTTGTAGCCACAGCTCCTTCTTTTTCTTTACTGTATATTATTCTGTTGTATGATGATTTATTATGTTAATGCCATTGATTTGCTCTACATAGTCTTCTGATGCTGGGTAAACTTTTGGTGTAAGTTGTCTAAGAAAATTTGTATTTTAAAAGAGATGTTATTTACTCAAAGCCTCAATCTCCAATTGTTGAATTTCAGGTACTATGACAAACCAGATATAAACATCTCATTCAAGCAGGAATGTTTTTTAGGGGGATAGAATGTCTTCATTATATCACTTCCTTAGACTCCTTTTGTTACAGTAGGTAGCTAGTCGGGCAGGAGCAGGGCAGGAGAGGGCTCCCCCTGCCCCCCACACACCACATACACATCAGGAATGTCAGGTGACCATCAGATGATGGTCAAGTGGTTGTTAACTGTCTCTCTAATAACTGGTCACAGCTGGCACTAGGGAACAGCAGGCTCCTAATAGATAGGAAACACCTGAAACTGGTGAGCAGCAGCTTCCCCATCTCAGGAGTTGGGTGTGTGGGGAGAAGTAACACAAAACCCCAGAAGCAAGCTAACTTATAAAATCCCAAGTCAAAATGTCAAACGGGACACTTGTCCTTCAAGTCGCCCAGGTGGCCCTCTTCCAAGTATACTTTCCTGTCTTTCATTCCTGTTCCAAAGCTTTTCAATAAACTTTCACGCCTGCTGTAAAACTTGCCTTGGTCTCTCCTTCTGCCTTATGTCCGTCGGTCGAATTCTTTCTTCTGTGGAGGCAAGAATTGAGGTTGCTGCAGACCCAGATGCATACTTTCTGCTGCTAACACATTTATCCCCAAAGAATGGTTGTTTTTTGTCAGGACACAGTAACATTAAAAAATTCAAACACATTATAGTTGCTTGATAAACTCTATAGTTGAAAGACTGTATAAGGGAATGTTTTCTTAAAACTGCAAAGTCAAAAGGATAAGCCAGAATCAATAAAGAATTGTGGAATACAGAAATAAATTTTGCATATGGTCACCACATAAATAACCTTGACCATCATTTTTGAATTTTAATGCTGTGATTATCAAAGGTGGGGTCTGAGCCCAAAACACAACTTTTCAAAATAATGAATCATGGGCAGTGAGTCAAGAAATGTTGAACTTCAGCCCACAACTCTAAGAATGAGGAGTTTTGGCTAACTGCTTGGGTTTTTGTATTGTACTAATGTTGTGAATAGTATTTCAAAAAAGATTAATTTGCTAAGCATAGCATTGCTAGAAATGACCTTTCTCTTACTGTTTTCCTGATACAGAAGAAATTCCTGCAAGAAATCTCAGCTTTCCGTAATAAGTTCCAGTAGCTAAAGACAGAACAAATCAACAGCTTTAAGTATCTGCTTGCCAAAATTTAACTAAAACTCTTGAAAGCAAAAACCCCAGTAGTGGCTTGTTCAGAAATGATTTTAAAACATCTCAAACTGCTAAGTATTCTTGATCTAGGAAACATGTCTTTGAAGTAGGATGTAAATTCTAGACCTGGAAATGCCCTTCATTTCCCATGAGCTCAAAGCTATTACGCTCTCAGGGGCAATGATTTTTCCCTAGGAGGAAAAAAGGAAGTTTTTCTTTTCTTCTTAAAGGAGGATTGTTCTCTAAATTTTAATTTTCTTTAGGTTTTTTTGAATCAGGGCCAAAAGTCAGCAATGTCCATATAATGTTTTTAAAAAGATAATGGCTGATGAGATACGTAATAAAATAAAGCGTAAAAAAGATTAATTACAACGTGTGTGTGTGTTTGCAGGATTCAATGAACTCTAATGAGGCAGGAAAGAGATTAGTTGCAACCTCAGTTTGGGGTGTGTGTGTGTGTGCGTGTGTGTAAGAAAGGTATGCACCCCATCTAAGATAATACAGTGGTGTAAGAGGTTGGGTAAGGGGACTAGGTAGCAAGAAAAAGCACATGCTTCAAAAGTCCTATCACTCTATGAAGAAAAATTTGTGGGAAAGGGGAGAGAGAGGTCTTCTGTGGCTTAGGGAGAATCAAATGGAACCAGCACCCAGACCCCTTGTCCAGGGCTAGAAGCTCTGACTGTACCTAGATCTGCGGCAGCTTTTTCATCCTTGATTTCACACCAACTGGACTCAGCTACCCTGAGACTATAAATCTGCTTTCCTTAGTTATAAGTAACGATATAATCCCACAAAGACTCAGAAACTATAACAGAAATTAGGACAGAAATAAAAATTGTAAATAATTGTAATACTTCTATGTACACTTAGTGTTCAGTTTTAAAATCATCATTATAATCTGCCTCTGTATGTTATTTAACACATCTAATCCATTTAAGATAATCTGACATTCTGTAGTTGGGATTTTAATTTGAAATGTTTAATATTTGTCTTGTGATTTTCATGAGAAAAGTATTTGGCTTATAAATAGTATTTGAATGTTTAAAGGCGTCAGATGTATTATATCTCTACGCTCAGGTTTCTCAGGTTGGTAAGCACCATTTAAGTGTTTAGGTGAGTTTGGTTTGTCAAATGTCTGGGTCTACCCTGTTAGGTGTGAAGGCCTTAAGATACACTGAAATTATGTTATTATAGTTTAACATGCTTAACTATTTACCAGTCTATTTATTACTAAATTTAATTAATTAAGGTGTTAATTATTTGGGGGTAAATTACTCTGTTAAACATATCCATTATTAAAATATTAATCTAAGATCAAGTAAAAGCCTTATAGAAAAAACTACTAGATTTATATGTGAAAATGACCAGCTATTTAAGTTAAGCTTAATGTTTAAAAAATAAAAATCTTTATGACATACCAAACATCTCTTTATTTATTTTATTATTATTATTTTTTCAGACGGAGTCTTACTCTGTCCCCCAGGCTGCAGTGCAGTGGCACGATCTCGGCTCACTGCAACCTCCACCTCCCGGGTTCAAGTGATTCTCCTGCCTCAGCCTCCTGAGTAGCTGGGACTGCAGGCACGCACCACCATGCCCAGCTAATTTTTTGTATTTTTAGTAGAGATGGGGTTTCACTTTATTAGCCAGGATGGTCTCGATCTCCTGACCTCGTGATCTGCCCGCCTTGGCCTCCCAAAGTGCTGGGATTACAGGCGTGAGCCACCGCGCCCGGCCAAAGATCTCTTTATTTATTTATTTAGAGACAGAGTCTCACTCTGTCACTCAGGCTGGAGCGCAGTGGCGTGATCTCAGCTCACTGCAACCTCCGCCTCCTTAGTTCAAGCGATTCTCCTGCCTCAGCCTCCCTAGTAGCTGGGATTATAGCGCCCGCCACCACGCCCGGCTAATTTTTGTATTTTTAGTAGAGACGGGGTTTCGCCATGTTGGCCAGGCTGGTCTTGAACTCCTGGCCTCAAGTGATCCACCCGCCTTGGTCTCCCAAAGTGTTGGAATTACAGGTGTGAGCCACCGTGCCTGGCCCAAAGATCTCTGTTTTAATGTTATAAACATTAAAAAAACTCCATTAACAAACAAGATTAGGCTTTTCTGGTAAATTAATTATTCCAATTCCTAGAAAATAAAAATGGTTAGAATATGTACCAGGGTTTAGTGCAGAAAACACAATTCACTCTAGATATCTGCAGAAAGTATTTAATTTTTTTTTATTTCCATAGGTTATTGGGGAACAGGTGGTGTTTGGTTACATGAGTAAGTTCTTTAGTGGTGATTTGAGAGTTTGGTGCACCCAACACCCAGAAAATATTTAGTACAGGAATTTGGGTGCTTATATAACTGTGGAAAGGGTTGGAGGAGCAGAAGTTGGGGCAGGCTGCTGCACTTAACTGCCACCACATCTGCCACTATCAAGGATGCCAGCACTCAGGAAGCTGGTGACTAGAGGCTGATGACTTACACTGGGACTTGCTCCCCAACCATAACACCTCCTAGAAAATGGCCTCCACCTTCTTACCCAACTGATCCTACTGGCAGAACCTAAGCTGCATCCAAAACCCAACTGTGAGGGGCTGAGAAATCTAGCCCCAACGATACAGTAGGAAATTCAGAAGTCAAACAGGGTGCTGAGTGCCCAAAGGCAAGATTCATGAAGCAAAAATCCCACAAATCCACATAGGACTGTTTATTATGACTTGGCAATGTTTCCTAAACATAATATGCACATGCAAAACTGGATGCCTTTTGTCAAACATTGCCTCTGTCAGATACATTGTATCAGGCAACTATGGTTTTCCTGCAAGTCTTTAAAAAATGCGACCTAAGTTTGGCAGAAAACGATTTCCTCTTGACATCTATCAGCAAATACACTGAAGAAAGCAGACTTTGTTTGCTACACAGTATTTCCCCCACCCCTCATCTTTATTAAGGTGTAAGTGACAAATAAAAAACATATATATTCAAGATGTATAATGTGATGTTTTCATATATGTATATACTGTGAAATGACAACCACAATCAAGCTAATTAACATATCTATTTCCTTAGCTTTTTTTGGAGAGATTATTTAAGATCTACTTTCTTAGAGAATTTCGAGTATACAATACAGCATTAACTAGTTACCCTGCTGTACATTAGGTCTCCAGACCGTATTCACCTTAAAACTGCCAAGTTTGTTGGCCAACATTTCCCCATTTCCTTACCCCTGGCCCGCAATAACCATTCTTACAGTGATTCTATGACTTTTCTTTCTTTTTTTTTTTTTGAGACAGGGTCTTGTTCTATCACCCAGGCTGGTGCAGTGGCACAAACACGGCTCACTGCAGCCTTGACCTTCTGGGCTCAAGCAATTATCCTGCCTCAGCCCCCTGAGTAGCTGGGACTACAGGTGTGCACCACTACGTCCGTCTAGGTTTTTGATTTTTTGTAGAGAGGGGAGTCTCACTTTATTACCCAGGCTGGTCTCGAACTCCTGAGCTCAAGTGACCCTCCTGCCTCGGTCTCCCAAAAGTGCTGGGATTACAGGCATGAGCCACCATGCCTGGCTGAGTATGACTTTTTAATTTTTATTTATTTTTTGAAATGGAGTCTCACTCTGTTGCCTAGGCTGGAGTGCAGTGGTGTGATCGTGGCTCACTGCAGCCTTGACCTCCTGGGCTCACGCAATCCTCCCACCTCAGCCTCCTGAGTAGCTGGGACTAAGGGCATACATGCCACAATGTCCGACTAATTTTTTGTAGAGATGGGATCTTCCCGTGTTGCTCAGGCTAGTCTTGGACTTCTGCGATTGCAGGGAGTGCTGGGATTACAGGCATGAGCCAACATGCTCAGCCTATGACTTTTTAGATTCCACATGTAACTTAGATCATTCAGTATTTGTCTTTTTGTGACTGGCTTATTTCACTTAGCTCAATGTCCTCAAGGTTCAGCCATGTTGTAGTGTGTGATAGGACTTTATTCATCTTTAAGTCTGAATAGGGTTATCTATTATCTATCTATCTATCAATCAATCATCTATCTATCTATCTAGTGTGTGTGTATACACACACATACATACCACATTTTCTTTATCCATTTATCTATGACAGACACTTAGTTTGCTTCCATATCTTGGCTATTGGTTAGTTATATAGTTTTACAAATTGTTTTAGGTACTACTTTTTTTTTTTTCCTTACAGGTATGGTTCCCAAGGGAAATTTGGCACCATTAGGTCAGTTCTGTTCCTTCCAGTTCTCTCTTGGACTTGTATTGTCTATATAGCAGAATTGATTTCAGAGCATGGCTGAAGACTGCTTTGTAAAGAGCATTATCAATAGGATAAAGGGATCTAAAGTCCAAAATTTACTCACTGAGTTCAATTATCTGTGTATTCTCACTAGCAGTTTAATCTTCTAGTTGGTGTTCTAACCTAGGACAGAGGCATTATATCTCCTGGGTTTGTAAATTTTAATTTTTTTTTTTTTGAGATGGCATCTCGCTCTGTTGCCTAGGCTGGAGTGCAGTGGCGTGATCTCAGCTCACTGCAAACTCTGCCCCATGGGTTCCAGCTATTCTCGTGTCTCAGCCACCCCACTAGCTGGGATTACAGGTGTGTGCCACCACGCCTAGCTAATTTCTGTACTTTTAGTACAGACGGGGTTTCACCATGTTGGCCAGGCTGGTCTCGAATTCCTGACCTCAAGTGATCCACCTGTCTTGGCCTCCCAAAGTGCTGGGATTACAGGCATGAGCCACCATGCCTGGACTATTTTTTTAAAATTTGATTTTGCTCTAGATGTGGTGTCAAGAAGTAATAGTTACAACTAAGTTTGAGTGTGATTTATAAAAAACAAAATAGTAGCTTAAACCCAATGAAAGTTTATTTCTCTCTCATGTGTGCAGATGTCTGAAGGTAAGGGATCCAGAGCTGCTGTGACCCGGCTCCTCTCAGGTCACTGTACTGCCATACAAGAGTGGCCTCCATCCTTGTGGTTCAGGAAGGCAGCATCAGCTTCCAGCCAGGATGAACAAAGGGGGAAAAAGGAGGGCAAGGGCACACACGTGCCCACCATCTCTGAAGGAAGCCTTTGAGGAGCTGCTGGGTTGTCCTTCACTCACATCCCCCCGGCCAGCTCTCAGTCCCATGCCCTCATTCGGTAGTGAGGAGGGGGAATGCAGTCTTTCCTTTTTCTTTCTTTCTTTTTTTTTTTGGGCAGCAGCAAGATTTATTGTGAAGAGCGAAAGAACAAAGCTTCCACAGTGTGGAAGGGGACCCAAGCGAGTTGCCCGGGGAATGCAGTCTTTATTCTGAGTACCATGTGCTCTGTTAGACTTTCTATTGTGTTGGAAAAGGGAGAAAAAGGATATGGTGGAGGCAATGAGAGTCTTTGCCACATCTGACTTTCATATGAACAGAAAACATGTGTTGGCTCCAAGTTATCTTCCAAAAAAAAATTTTTTTTTTCCAGAAAAGTAAATCAATTATTACTATTGGGCTGACCTAATCCATTATTTACCCTGGGTAGTACAGATGCTGTTTTAAAACTAGGAAAACATATTATTTCCACCTGGGTTAGCGAGACCACATTGTCTTCTGCTGCAACCCTAGCAGCAAGAAGGGGAGTCCTCTCACTTTGTGTCCCTGGAAGGCTCCCCTGATTTGAGTTCTCCAGAAGGATGGGGTTTGGTGTGGAAATGGGGAGGTCAAGGAACTGTGCGGTTGTGAATAACAGATCAGCAAGAGAAGTGATTGAAACCTGGAGCCATGAGGAGAGGCTGCTGGGAATGAGGAGATTCTGCAGGTACATTTCCCCCACCCCCTCATCATTTCCTGTTTTGCCACTGTGGAATTTGCTTTCTGCTCGAAGATGATCCCTAGGACCCGGTGGAAAGCATGGGAATAAAACGGGTGGTGGTAGTGGTAGGGTCAGGGGTGGGGGGAAGAGGCAGGAGGCAGATGTTGAAGCCTGGGGGTCCCTGGGTGGCAGCCAGATCTACAAGAGGAAGTAATGGTTACCTTTTCTTGAGTGCCCAGGTGGCAGACATTTTGACAACATCATCTCATTTTATTCCCTTAACAATCCTACGAAGAACTGAGGTAAAATGGACACCCAGAAAATTAAAGTTACCTGCAGAGTCACACAGCCAGAGACAAAGTCAGAATTCAAATTCACGTTCTCTCCACTGGGTTACACTGCCAGGGCTGATGTCTCAGTGGGGAAACTAGACTATCCAACAACCTCAGGCGCAGGCCGACTTTCTTTCAGAATGATTCTGTCAATGAAAGTACAACTTTGGGTCCATAATTACAACTTAAAGGTGAGAAATGGTGGATGTCAAACAAAGGAGAGAATGAAAAAGAGGCACCATAGCTTCTGAGATGACTTTTCCACTCCCTGTTGTAAAACTGAGCATCACTTTTATTATTCTCCCTGAAATCACTGGGCTAACTGCAGTTCCTAGCTTGCCCATCATTCTTTACCCACAGATTTTCATGGACTGGGTCCTAAATGCAACACAACAATCATAGTAGAAAAACTTACAGTAGACACACCTGCAGGGTTTGAAAAAAACCAAGGTGCTCTTATAGGCCAGGTGAAATCAATTTGTTAAAAAAAAAGTTGAATTATTCCTTCATTGAGTATCTCTCTGAACTACATCCAGTTATCAATGTTGGCTGACTAGTCTACAGCCATTCTTTCCCCCCTTGCTCAGTAAAACCCTCCATGAGCCTCAGGGAAGGTAGGTCCAGCCTTCGGTGAAATGTAATTGGCTTAAAGGCATAGTAGTTGCACTTTTCTCACCAGAAACTGGCTTAGGAATGATGTGCAATGCAATTCTGGGCAATAAGAAATAAAAGATGTTTGATGGAGATTTCTAGAAAAATTTACTTATAAAAAAGGGCTCAAGAAAGGTTTATTCTTCTGGCCTTTGGACATGGCTCTCTGAAGGTGGAATGTTTGGAGCTTGATGAACTGTACTGAGAGCCAGATAAACACCCCTTGTCCTCTTGCGTATGGCACAGGTGGATGTTGGTCAGAGTTTACAGCAGCGGCATAGCTTCAAGAGTTGTCTAAGAAAAAAAGGGCTTACAGCTTCAAAGAACAGGTCTCTGACATGCAGCATAAGCTGTCCCTCCTTGGAGATTTTACAATTACAGTGCACTCATGGCATTCTGAGAAGTCATGCCATGGTCAAGAATCTTTTGATCTTTGTATAACTATGCTTTTTTTCATAAAGAACATACTTATTTTTTCATGTAACACTTAACTACCCACAAAGGACTCACTTTCTGAAGAACGGACATTCAGAGTCACTTGCCTGGGCCATATTTGTTTTCCTCATTTCTACCTGGCCTTCTATTGGGGCTTTTAACTGAACCAGCCATATCCACAAAGAGAAATTCACAAGAGATGAACTTAAAATGAAAAGCAAAGACCTCCAAACCAGGAAATTGCAAGTAATTTAGTTAGCATTTGTATTAGTTTGTTTTCACACCGCTATCAAGAAATACCCGAGACCGGGAAATTTTTAAAGGAAAGAGGTTTGATTGACTCACAGTTCCACATGGCTGGGGGAGCCTCAGGAAACTTACAATCATGGTGGAAGGGGAAGAGGCATGTCTTACATGGTGGCAGGCGAGAGAGAGCAAGTAAGAGCAGGGAAAACTGCCTTATAAAACCATCAGATCTCATGAGAACTCACTATCAGCAGAACAGGATGAGGGAAACCACCCTTATGATCCAATATGATCCAATCACCTCCCACCTGGTCCCTCCCTCAACATGTGGGGATTATAATTTGAGATGAGATTTGGGTGGGGACACACAGCCAAACCGTATCAGCATTTATTGAGTAGATACTATTAGGCACTGTTTCAAATGCTTTGTATTTATTAACACAGTTAACCCTCAAAACAACCCAATGAGGTAAATCCTACTGTCACTCACACATTACAGATAAGGAAAGCTGAGGCTCAGTGAGAATAAGAGATGTGCCTCAGCTAATAAGTGGAGAAACCACAATTTGAGCGCAGACTGGCTGTTCTAGAATGAGCCCTCTTAACCATGATGTCATACTGAACTCTTTACTCTCTAAAGATAGCAAAGCCAAAGAGACCTCCACTGTTCACCAGCACGGAGACATGGATTGTTCATTCTTGGTTCACAGGGGACTCCCAGAGAGGAGCCAAACCATCTAGGTTCACAAAGCCCCTCTGTACTTTCCAGCTATGACTTAACCTCTGTCTGCTTCGAGGTTTTCTTTCTCATGCTTCTTAAAATGTTAACAAGTAGGCCGGGTGTGGTGGCACACACCTGTAATCCCAGCACTTTGGGAGCCTGAGTGGGGTGGATCACGAGATCAGGAGATCAAGACGAGATGAAACCTTGTCTCTACTAAAAACAGAAAAAATTACCCGGGCGTGGTAGCATGCGCCTGTAGTCCCAGCTACTTGGGAGGCCGAGGCAGGAGAATTGCTTGAACCTGGGGGGCGGAGCTTGCAGTGAGCCGAGATGGCACCACTACACTCAAGCCTGGGCCACAGAGCGAGACTCTGTCTCAAAAAAAAAAAAAAAAAAAAAAAAAGAAAAAAAAGAAAAAGAAAAAGAAAAGGATGATTTCATGAGGCTGTGAGAAGTACTCAATATATGTCCACTATTACCCTATCAAAGCTAGTCTCATAACAGCCTCCCCCTATTGATCCTGGTTTCATCCTCTGTGTTATGCCAGAACAAGCCTATCATCTTCTCTACAGTGGGCTTTCAAATATGTACAGAGAGGTGACACAGCACCCTTCTCAGGCTAAGGACTGCTGGATCCTTTCACTGAGTCTCCCAGACTAGGGCCTTCAGGGCACTTTCCCTTCTGCTCATATTTTCAACAATTCTTATGCCAATGCTTGGGATTTTTGAGCTCTTTCCTGAACATCATATCACAAAGAGTTTTTCTTATAGTCCTTCAAAGGTTAACATTTACTTCATAAGTGATGAAACTGTCAGTATCACTATAAACTAAAACATGAAACTTAAAGCAGAATTTTATTTTGAAAAGTTTGCTCCCTTATCTATTTTCCCTCCCACAAGAAATACTTTAATCCAACAGTGAGTCTTGAAAAGAGCCAGTTATATGGTCATGTTGAGCATTAGTTGAGTGTATGACTGTATGTTTTTCTTTTCTGTCACATTAATAAGAACTGAATCTTTTTCATGCAAGATGATACTTTGAGGAGGATTTGACCAAATGCCTTCTAAATTCCCTCTTAATCCTGAGATTCTGTGATTTGAGGCTTCTTCTGCAATTTTGTTCAATGTACACACATACTGAAGTCCTCCTTATTCCAAAGCAGTAAGTTCATTAGACATTTTATTTAGGGGAAATCTCATTTTATAACTATAGTATATAGGCACACATACACATACACACACATATATATATATATGTAGGTGTCTATATATAAACGTATGTGTGTGTGTGTGTATATATATATATATCTCCCATCTCCTGTTTTCTTCTAAGAAATTGCTTCTTCAGAAGGTGATTAAATTGGTTTTATAGTGGTTTATCTAGTCCTGCTGCTTATTCTCCCACTTGACATGTTAATCCCCTCTCTATTTTATCAGATAACCCTTTGGTTATTGCCATCAGATCTACACAAACGTTTCCAGTGATGGAAATCTAGGGCAGCAACCCCCTTCATTCCAGAAGACCATTAAGAATTCTTGACAGAGAGCAGCCCTTTGGAACAAATAAACAAAAAGGCCCAGCTTTGCCCATTAGTTTCTCTGAAGGCATGGGCCCTGTCTGGGACACATAGGAAAACAAACACATTTATGTATAGACCTGTGATCAAAACTGTTCATTCACAGAAGAACCTCCCTGAGAGGTGTTCACAAATTGTAAAGTAGTGAGGTGTTTGCAAACAGAGTGAACAAAGCAGCACATGGAAATCAAACGTAGTCTGTCTTTTCACAGTCACAGAATCACCCAATAATATACTAAAATCTAACCGCAGCTAACACGTCTGCATGTGTCTTCATTTTTATGGTCAGGTCACCATCTAGTCCCACCATTCTCACAGGAAATGTCTCTTGGTAAAAATTTAGGATTTTAATTAAGGGGAAAATATAACTAATTACAAAGTATCAAACCCTTAGTAATTGAAGTTTATAAGGTTAAATCCTCAAATTTTATGTCAATCATACCATATATTCCAAGATACACAAATAAACCAGATATACACAGACGCCAATGCAAGCAACACTACTTTGGTCTCATTTTGTATTTAATATTATCGAAGGCTTTATTAATGCCTTAAAAAACACAAAAAGTTCTGAACACACATTTATTATCTGGAGGAATAAATGCACTCCAAATGCTTATCATCAGAACTCTGGAAAAAGACATATAAATTCTCTCCAGTATTTTAAAAATTGGTATCTAAATAATTTCATTTTGAACTAGGTTAGCAACCTAAGTTGTCTTCATTCAGCTTTTAAAATTGAAAAAAAATTGCTTCAAATATAATAAAGACTTAAGTACACATTCAAAATTTATTTTCTGTTACAGTTTTCTTGCCAAAAGGAGTTGAAGAATTTTTTTGCTTATCTTACTTAGGACAAATGTTGTCAGATTAAAAAAAAAAATAACAGAATAGTAGTTGTAAAGACTAACTCTATATGAATGGTTTTAATCATAGCGCAGTTAAAACAACATTTAATGTAGATTCATTTCGCTGGATGATGTCAACCATTTAAAATATCAGTATTTCTCATATCATTTCTGGATGGTCTTGACACATTCTTACATCTTCTTCAACATGACTTCTTCACTTTTCTTCTCTAGAGTTTTCTTGAGTTAAAATAATGGCTTGAAGAAGATCATATGAGATCTAGTGGCTCTGTGATATTTCTTAAATGGTGGGCAAGGCTGGGCTGGCTGATAATGTAACTCATTAACATGAGCCGTATTTTCAGTGCCCCAGGCTGGCCAGGCAGTCTGAGAGAAGGCCTTAGTTCCTCTTGCAGATAAAGATAGAGTCCATTCTTTCACTAGTCCAGGGCAGTGGCCAAAAAAGTCCAGGAAAGGCATTACATAGAATGCCATCGTTTAGAAGAGATTTGGATTTAACGGCGTTGTTATAGGTAAAGTATCTCCTGAGAAAAATCTCATTGACTCAGTGTTTGGGGGAACGTTAAATTTTATCATCACAGTTGCCTTTCTCTGTGGAAAAGATTTTATTTATTTATTTATTTTTTATTTTACTTTAAGTTCTGGGAGGAAAAGACTTCTTTAATTTGCTATGATCACTTCCTCTCAATTTCTTTTTCTTACAGTCATGCATACTCTGTAATCTAAATTTCTTAAGTTTATTTAAAAATCAGAGAAAAACAACCCAAGGGGATAAAAACAAGCACAAAGTAAAGAAAGAAACCAATAATTTTGCCATTATACTTTCTCCTGGATAACTGCAGATATTTCTTGTCATTTCCATTCTGTTTCAACACTGCAGAACAATACACTGGAGGCCCAATGGCGAAGCAATGTGCACATGAGTGACAAAACATGGGAACCAGAAAAGGAATATAAATGTAAATCAAACTTTTAAAATCCCAGTAATGCAACAGCTTCTTTCCTTATTTATTGGATTAATGTCCCTTCCACATGAATTCACATTTTGATTCCAGGAAGCCATGTACCATAAGCCCTAATAACAAAGACCACTATTTGTCGAGCCTGTGGCCGGTATCTACTGGTGGCAAACTTGCAAAGGTCTTCTGGAAGACTCATAAAATTATGTTCTATTTGTTTTCTGGATTCAGGGGACCACGGAAATAGAGAAGGATAGAAACAAGGCATGCTTTTGAGGTTTCTTGGGCTGGGTAGTAGAAAAATAGGTGTTTTCCTTTGGGGATTTTTGCAGCCGAGAATACTTTGTCATTTTCCTCAGTCTTTAAGGGAGTGGTAGGCTTTGGCAGTCCGGCTGTTGACAAAATCTGTCTTCTTAAACTGAGCCTTTGGAATAAGCAAACAGAAACGTGAAAGGTAACAAAACTGGCACACAAGAAAATGCAGTTTTTTAGCGATTTCTTCCCAGGGTCAAGTCAAGTGGGCCATTATTACCTGGCTCTGTTAACTATGACACATTCCTTGTTCATGTTCTTACCTTCTTGTAGGCATGATGCAGTTCCGTGTGTGCCCACAGAGAATACAGAAGGACGGAAGCAGCTTTACTTGCTTTGTTGGAGGCATAGCTGAAAAGAAAAGGACATTCTGAGATCAGGGAGAATGAGTGAGGCTTCTGGATGCGGCCTGTGGGTGTTCTGTAAGACCTCTTCGCTCCTCAACTGCTACTCCGCAGCAGCCATCCATGAAGTCAGGCCACTCGGTGACCAGACAATTAGGCAGCAAGCTCTGCAAGGCGGGGACCATATCTGTTTTTGTTTTCTTTTTAAACCACTAGCACAGTGCTAATAAATAAATAGTTTATAGGCCAGGTGGGGTGGCTCACGCCTGTAATCCCAGCACTTTTGGGAGGCTGAGGTGGGTAGATCACGAGGTCAGACCATCCTGGCCAACATGGTGAAACCCCGTCTGTACTAAAAATACAAAATCTAGCTGGGCGTGGCAGTGTGTGCCTGTAATCCCAGCTACTCGGGAGGCTGAGGCAGGAGAATCACTTGAACCCGGGAGGCGGAGGTTGCAGTGAGCCGAGATCACGCCACTGCACTCCAGCCTGGTGACAAAGCTAGACTCCATCTCAAAATAATAATAATAATAATAAACAAACAAGTAATTTATACAGAAAAATCCCTGATATTTATAAGGAATGTATCTTTAGATATGTTATAAATCCTTGAATTATTTATAGAATATAATCTATATTTGTATACTTATAATGTATGTTTATAGAATAAAAATGCATGAAACCATGACTGAAAAATACATACGATTTTGTGACATCATGAATGTAGGAGTAATTTTTCAAGTCAATAAAAGAAATTCTTGTGGCAGCCCTTGTTAAAGCAGTTTCAAAATCTCTTTACGTTTCCATATAGAGCAAATGGAAAACTTGTTCTTGCTATAAATCAAAGTCACCACTGCATTTGAACTGTACTTAGTCTTTCATATTCTGCTTTTTTTTTTTTTTTTTTTTTTTTGAGGCTGGAGTGCAGTGGAGCGATCTCGGCTCACTGCAACCTCCGTCTCCCAGGTTCAAGCGATTCTCCTGCCTCAGCCTCCGAAGTAGCTGGGACTACAGGCGCATGCCACCACGCCAGGCTAATTTTTTGTATTTTTAGTAGAGATGGGGTTTCACTGTGTTAGCCAGGGTGGTCTCGATCTCCTGACTTCATGATCCGCCTGCCTCGGCCTCTCATAGTGCTGGGATTACAGATGTGAGCCACTGTGCCCAGCCCATGTTCTGCTTTTAACTTTATCCTAAATGTCCCACCTCTGGCTTAGATCAGTGCCGCCTTAGATCTCTTTCTCTTCTATCACCTGATTAGCACATGGCTGATTTTTTTTCTTAAACAAAGATTCTTTTTCCCCCCATATCACAGGCATTTGTAAACATAAAACCAAAACCAGAGAGTGCAAAGATGTACGGAGAAGAGCATGGTGTGTTCCTTCAAGAGTGAAAAGTCTTTCTCCTCCATACTAGCCTGGCAGGGAGGAGCAGTCAAATCAGCACTTATTAGTAACCCCTGGACTTTTCAGAATCACTTGGTAATAACTGAAGGGCAAATAAATCCATCAAAGTGATGGGTCTCTAATATTCAAAACTGTAAAAAGTTATTAAATTGCAAGGCTGTTATATTCATAATATTTGTTTATAAGTTGGTTGTTTGATACTTGGTACTCTTTTATTCAAAGATGTAATGTTATAAATGATAATTAGTTCCCAGGCTAGTCCACAAACGGTAGGTCAGATATATAACACTCTAGTAAGGAAAGAGCAGCAGACACCACTGGCAAGAAGCTCCTTGTTAACTTTTGTTTTTGAGACAGGGCATGTGAGGACTCACAAGTGGACACTCGGAAATAAACAAGTAACAGAGTAGCTCACCCCTTATCTTGCTAAGCTACCAGAAGTTTCCAAAAGTAATTGCATATTGCCATGTGCAACAATTGTTATGTCTGAATACTCGAATAATGAGCATCATACTATCTTACGGTGATTTGCTTGGAAGTTTGGATGACTATTTGGAAGAAAAGTCATTTCTGTTTTGCAACAGTAATTCACTCTTTCCACAAAGACTGAGCAACTCTAATACTATCTGCCAGCCTCTGGGGATGGGTGAATATTCTTGGGGAACTGACACTCCAGCCAGTGCTCAGGGCTTGTTTTAATCTGACTCTAAATGCAGTCTTCCTTCCTTGTGTGCACTGCAGAGTGGGGCTGCAGAGCAGAAGGGGCCTAAATTGGGTGGGGCTGTAGTAGAGGTAACATGTACATCCCTGTACAGCCAAGCACACATTTCTTCAGTACAGGTGAAGTCATCTGCTTTGTAACTCATTAAAACTAGGCTATCATAGCCATTTCTTTTCTTGTTTGGTTATTTACAAAAGTAACATATCTATTTGTAATAAGTCAAACAATTCAGAATTGTATAAAGAGAAAAAGATAATCTTCATGCCCCTTTCCAATCTCATCACTCTAAATTAACTAATAGTAAATAATTTGGTTATACAAGGTTTTTCATTCTCCTCCTTTTTTTTTTTAATAGGGAAAAGTTGAAAACAGGAACACAGATGTGGAATGACATGCATTGGACCTTCTATTATCAAAAGGGAATAAGATGCGGAAGAGATAAGACAGAGAAAAAACTGTGAAAGCAAGACTTTCTCATCAGGCTACCCCCTGACTGCTTCTCCTGTGTCATCACTGCTGCTGCTGCTTTTTTTTTTTTTTCTTTTTTGAGACAGAATCTCACTCTGTCAACCAGGCTGGAGTGCAGTGGCACGATCACGGCTCATTGCAACCTCTGCCTCCTGGGCTCAAGTGATTCTCAAACCTCAGTCTTCCAAGTAGCTAGAATTACAGACACGCACCACCACACCCAGCTAATTTTTGTATTTTTACTAGAGACAGGGTTTTGCCATGTCGGCCAGGCTGGTCTCGAACTTCTGACCTCAAGTGATCCATCTGCTTGGGCCTCCCAAAGTGCTGGGATTACAGGCATGAGCCACTGTGCCCAGCCCATCACTGCTTCTTCTAAACCACCTGGTGTGACATCCCCTCCTAAGATGGAAGTGAGGAAAAGGGCACTTGCCTATTCAGAGGACTCCTGCTTTGCCTACATTCTGCTGTTATTAAATCACAGCTGTGGCTTTGGGAAACTAATTCATTAGGCCAATACAATGCTGGAATGCACAACCAAGAGAAGTTCTGGAGTCTGACCCTCTGTTGATACTTTAGAAGAGAAGGGACAAGCATGTGGTGTGGTGGATTCAGTTCTTTCCTTGGCTGATCACTGAGGGCTGACCAGATGATCTGGCCTGGCTTTACATCCTGTTTGCTGCCATGTTGCACATGATGGTCATGACCGCACATTCACAACCGGATTATTTACACACAGGCTGGTGAGGGGAAAGGGAGGCAGCTGACGGGCAGAACTGAAGGACTTACGCATCGCCTGCACTAATGGCCATAATTTTCTGGATGCCCCCGGTGTTTAGAAGGTCGCGTGCATTCTGGTAACTGTTTTGGATTATGTTGTTCAATGTGTAACAGGCAGAGGCTGTAGTTTCAATGAGAAGGTCAGTACTCGGGACTGTGTCAGGAATGATGGAAACCAAATCAGGGAGAGTTTCTTTGGCTACAAAATGAAAAAAAAAACAAAACACTTGATTAAAAAGATTGTTTCTTAATCCCAAGATCCCAATATATTTTGGGTGAAGAACATTCTTTTTCTTTTTTTGAGACGGAATCTTGCTCTGTTGCCCAGGCTGGAGTGCAGTGGCACCATCTTGGCTCACTGCAAGCTCTGCCTCCCGGGTTCACGCCATTCTCTTGCCTCAGCCTCCCGAGTAGTTGGGACTACAGGCACCCGCCACCACGCCTGGCTAATTTTTTTATTTTTTTATTTTTTTTTATTTTCAGTAGAGACGGAGTTTCACCGTGTTAGCCAGGATGGTCTCGATCTCCTGACCTCGTGATCCGCCAGCCTCGGCCTCCCAAAGTGCTGGGATTACAGGCGTGAGACACTGCGCCCGGCCAAGAACTTTCTTAAAAAGAAACACAGCTGGTTAACAACACATGGAAAGATGTAATTTCCCTAATAACAAATTTTTAAAAATATTTGAAAAGAGGATACTCTGTGCTCAGTATATTGAAAATCTTTTCAGAGTGTAATTTGGCAGAAATGTCAAGAACTTAAAACATTTTCATCTTCTTCAATTCGGTAATTCCATGTCTAGGAATACATCTTAAAAATATCACTTTGAAAATGAAAAAAGCTTTCTACAGAGATCTTTATGACAGTACTACATGTAACTGAAAAACTAAAAAGCCTGAATATCCTTATAATAGGACTATGATTAACTAAAACACACCTGCAAAGACTATTATTCATCACAAAACCTATCTATGAAGCATGTATAATAAAAAGAAAATAATTATGTTAATAGTGTATGTGAAAAATCAGTATATTTATATAAATAATACATAATATTATTGGCCAGGTTCGGTGGCTCACACCTGTAATCCCAGCACTTTGGGAGGCTGAGGTGGGTGGATCACTTAAGGTCAGGAGTTCAGGACCAGCCTGGCCAACATGGTGAAACCCTGTCTCTATTAAAAATACAAAAATTAGCTGGGCGTAGTGGCACATGCCTGTGCCTGTAGTCCCTGCTACTCAGGAGGCTGAGGCACAAGAATTGCTTGAGCTTGGGAGGCAGAAGTGGCAGTGGGCAGAGATCACGCCACTATTCTCCAGCCTGGGCAACAGAGAGAGACCCTGTCTCAAAAAAAAAAAAAAAAAGAATACATACTATTACCAAAAAACCCACGTAAGAAACCTGAGGAAAAATGTTAATAGGAGCTGTTTTTCTACAACAATATTAATAGTGAACTAAAATCTTTTTTTTTTTTTGAAACAGAGTCTTGCTCTGTCACCCAGGCTGGAGTGCAGTGGCGCGATCTCGGCTCTCTGCAAGCTCCGCCTCCCGGGTTCATGCCATTCTCCTGCCTCAGCCTCCCGAGTAGCTGGGATTACAGGTGCCCGCCACCACGCCGGGCTAATTTTTTTGTATTTTTAGTAGAGACGGGGTTTCACCTTGTTAGCCAGGATGATCTTGATCTCCTGATCTTGTGATCCGCCCGCCTGGGCCTCCCAAAGTGCTGGGATTAGAAGCGTGAGCTACCGCGCCTGGCCAAGCTAAAATCATTTTTAAGGCCAGGCAAGGTAGCTCATGTCTGTAATCCCAGCACTTTAGAAGGCCGAGACAGGAGGATCACTTGAGCCCAGGAGTTTGAGACCAGTCTGGAAAATATAATGAGACCCCGTCTCTATTTTAAAAAGTAAAATTAAATAGTAAATAAATAATAAACGAATAATCTTTGCTTCCCAAGGTTTTTCCAATACATAAGTAATACTACTCTTGTTTTTTTTTTTTTTTTGGAGATGGAGTTTCGCTCTTGTTGCCCAGGCTGGAGTGCAATGGCACGATCTCATCTCACTGCAACCTCCGCCTCCCAGGTTCAAGCAATTCTCCTGCCTCAGCCTCCCGAGTAGCTAGGATTACAGGTACGCACCACCATGCCCGGCTAATTTTTTGTATATTTTTTTTTTCAGTAGAGATGGGGTTTCTCCATGTTGAGGCTGGTCTCGAACTCCTGACCTCAGGTGATCTGCCCGCCTCAGCCTCCCAAACTGCTGGGATTACAGGCGTGAGCCACTGCGCCTGGCCTACTATTTTAAAAAGAGAAATAAACTATTTTAAATGTACTTTTCTACTATGTATATAACTTCTTGGTTATAAGTTTTGAGTTTGGCTTTTTTTTTTTGTACTAACAAGAAAGGTATTAAAAAAATAGACATGCCACTTTCACAATTAGGCTATAGAAAATAAAAAAGATACATAGACCAATGGAATAGAATAGAAAACCCAGAAATAAAGCAAAATACTTACAGCCAACTGATCTTTGACAAAGCAAACAAAAACATTAAGTGGGGAAAGGCCACCCTATTCAACATATTCAACAAATGATGCTGGGATAATTGGCAAGCCACATGTAAAAGAATAAAGCTGGATCCTCATCTCTCACTTTATACAAAAATCAACTCAAGATGGATCAAAGATTAAATCTGAGACCTGAAACCATAAAAATTCTAGAAGATAACACTGGAAAAACTCTTCTAGACATTGGCTTAGGCAAAGAGTTCATGACCAAGAACCCAAAAGCAAATGCAACAAAACCAAAAATAAGTAAATGGGATCCAATTAAACTAAAAAGCTTCTGCACAGCAAAATAAATAATCAGCAGAGTAAACAGACACCCCACAGAGTGGGAGAAAATATTCACAAACTGCATTCGACAAAGGACTAATATCCAGAATCTACAAGGATCTCAAAAAAGCAAGAAAAAAGCCAAATAATTCCATCAAAAAGTGGGCTAAGGACATGAATAGACAATTCTCAAAAGAAGATATACAAATGGCATAAGAAAAATTTTTTGATACGCCTCATACATATGAAAAAATGCTCAACATCACTAATTATCATGGAAATGCAAATTAAAAGCACAATGAGATACCACCTTACTCCTGCAAGAATGACCATAATTTAAAAATCAAAATTTAATAGATGTTGGCATGGATATGGTGAAAAGGGAACACTTCTACACTGCTGGTGGGAATGTAAACTAGTACAACCACTATGGAAAACAGTATAGAGATTCCTTAAAGAACTAAAAGTAGAACTACCATTTGATCCAGCAATACCACTACTGGGTATCTACCCAAAGGAAAAGAAGTCATTATATGAAAAAGACACTTGTACATGCATGTTTATAGCAGCACAATTCACAATTGCAAAATATGGAGCCAACCTAAATGCCCATCAACCAACGAGTGGATACAGGAAATGTGGTATATACACACCATGGAATACTACTCAGCCATTAAAAAGAAAGACATAATGGCCTTTGCGGCAAATTGGATGGAATTAGAGACCACTATTCTAAGTGAAATAACTCAGGAATGGAAAACCAAATATTGGATGTTCTCACTTATAAGTGAGAGCTAAGCTATGAGGATGCAAAGGAACAAGAGTTATATAATGGATTTTGGGGACTTGGGGGAAAGGTAGGAAGGGGTGAGGGATAAAAGACTACACATTGGGTACAGTGTACACTGCTCAGGTGACATGTGCACCAACATTTCAGAAATAATCACTAAATAACTTTTGCATGTAACTGAACACCACCTGTACCCAAAAATCTATTGAAAATTCTTAAAAGGTGTTAATATTTGATAAATCCACTGGAACTTGTCCTATGGTACATATTTTGGTCAATGTGAACTTGTGCTTAAACTTTTTGTAATAGTTATTTTCATGTATGTTTTCCTCTTTTTCCTCTAACCACTTTAGACTCTTCTTAAAAGATAGAGAGCATGCATCTTTTGCTTTTGCTGATCCCCACAGCTTCTGAATACGTGTTGTGTTTATCAGCAATTAACAAATACTGCCTAATTTTATTGTGTGCCTTCATCTGTGTTCATGTGGCATCTTGAAGCACATTTCTCTCTCTATGATACTGATAGTAATGAATTGTGTGACTGTCTCAACTTCAGATGAGGCTGTGGGTTCCTTGAAGCCAATTATCTTACTTATTTCTGTGTTTACAGCGTTGATCATTATTCCTGAAATGGACAAGTACTCAATAAAAGGCACTGAATGATATGTCATCATAATACCTGGACCTGATTGACAGGTAAGACATACCTTTTGCTCACAGGCCTGAACACTTTCCTTTTGACTGTGGTTCAAGCACACAGCATACTGTGGAGAGCTCAGCGTTCATCTAAAGCCAGAGTGCTGTAGTTTCAGTCCTGGTTCTGCTACTTTACAGCTCTATGGCCTGAGCAAGCTACTTAATGTCTCTATTTGTTTTTCCCTAAGTTGCAATGTGGGATAATAATGTCTACGTCACAGGGTTGTTCTGAGGGAACGAGTCAATGCATGTTAATTGTATTGCAGTACTGCGCATGTGGTAAGCTCTCAGTGGATGCTATTATCAGAAGTCTCCCTCCTTTTAGTAAGTTAAACTACAGAATGAAAGGCCTTGACTGGCAAAATAGCACTGTGAGATACAAACCCATGTTTTCTGTGTGAAATCTGTTATTCTGTTACCATGCTCCATTGCCTGTCTTTAAGTTTTTGAGAAAATGTAAGTTTCAAGTTTATTTCTCTAGATGTAAGTAAAACATAACAACTTTATTGCAGGTGAGAACAGGGAAAGTTACCTGGCTTAGAAAGCTCTCATGAGAAACACAAAGCATGTGTTCAAGCTGACTTTCACTTATTTCTTGCTATTAAAATTCTGAATTAAGAGAAGTCCTTTTACTTATATATTTGACATGAAGCCAATCTGGAATTTTAAAATAGCATTTATCTTGCTGAAGCCTCTTTTCTCTGTTATCCTTAAAGTGAAGTTTATCAACAGAATCCTCTAATATAAACCATGTGGCTACAGCTATACCTTCCCGACATTTAGGGGACTGCAGAACCTGAGGCCAACAGCATTTCTGCCCTGAAGGTACATGCTTAATGTGTATAGTGCTGTTATTTACCTTGGTGGTGTTTTAAAGATGGAGTCAATTTTTCATTTGGGAAAAGAACAAAAAAGGGAAAGGATAATACACTGCCATTGAAGTTCAGCACAAAAGACCATGGGGAGAGCATTTTAATAATTCTGAGAGTGCCTATGGCGAGGTCTCTTTCAGATTCACTGAGAATGTTCCAGGCTTATCTCTACTTAGAATGAGCATGAAGCCATTGCATAAAACCTCCTGTCAAATGTGCTGCTGGCTGGCTTTGAAAATGACATTACTAAAACATAACTGCAGCCTTTAATATCTCTGGGGCTATATATGTGCATATTTAAAAATCTAATCCATTAAAACAGGCAAAATATTGTTTATAATTTTTGTGAAATGTGAAAAACCGAATTTGAGTTGTTAGAAACGACCGATTACAGAGCATTATGAAGCATGTTTAATTTTAGCATTATCTTTCTATCATCTCATTTTGTAATTTTCTACTAGATACAACAAACATTTATCACATACTTCTTGGTATAAGCAAACAAATAAAAAAGTACCGTTATCATCTCTGTCAATAATACAGTCAAAGGCAAAATATGTCTCATCACAGTTACTCAAAAAAAATCCATGCCAAATTTGCTATATTCAGTGACTCCTTGTCTTTTTATTGTGATTATCTGTTTATCCATTTTTTTAATAGTCCAACACACTGCCAAACTACTAAAGTAAACCACCACTATATGTGTTTTTCAAATGTTCTAGAATTGTGGTGCTTAAGAGAGCCACAGAGAGAACATTCTGAAAGACAACTATATGGATTAGAAAGACTTCATTGGATGGTGTGACTGAGGGTGCCACCCAGTGAAAAATATCAACAATATTACTTATCTTGTTAATTATTAGTATGCTCTAAAATTTCTCTTTTGTAGTAATTTTTTTTTTAAATGTTGGATATTTAAAAAAAATCTCTGGTGAGATCCACTGAGAAAGCCTGTTTGTGATATCTGGTGGCACAAAAGGCAGGCCGGTTTATCACCTACTCCTTACTCCCATTTCCAGTGCATCTTTGTGAACGGGAGGTGATACAGACAACATTTCATTGCATTGTATCTTCAGCATGTACATATTACACATAGATACTTATACCGACTCACCAATTTCATTCTGCAGAGAAAGATTCCGGGACAGATTCCTCAGCAGCGAGATGGCTGTCTTTTTCACACTTGGGTCACCAACATGCAGCATCTTTCGGGTGTGCTGCAGGCCACTTTCCTTCTGGACAACTGTCTGAGCCACTGATGTCGGCATCTGTTTTGTGAGACATATCCTATAAGTGCTATTGTATTTGATTTCACGATAACATTAAGTTTTCTGTAGATTACCAGAGGTTGATGAAGATGTTTTATTTTTATCTTATTTATTTATTTTGAGACAAAGTCTCTCTCTGTCATTCAGGCTGGAGT
The DNA here is from genome assembly GCF_000001405.40 of Homo sapiens. NCBI lineage: Eukaryota > Metazoa > Chordata > Mammalia > Primates > Hominidae > Homo > Homo sapiens. The sequence goes on from NC_000012.12 coordinate 32,802,712, forward strand.
GCAGTGGTGTGATCTCAGCTCACCACAACCTCCACCTCCCAGGTTCAAGTGATTCTCCTGCCTCAGCCTCCAGACTAGCTGGGATTACAGGTGTGTGCCACCACGCCCAGCTAATTTTTTGGAATTTTAGTAGAGATGGTGTTTCACCATGTTGGCCAGGCTGGTCTCGAACTCCTGACTCAGGTGATCCACCTGCCTCAGCCTCCTAAAGTGTTGGGATTACAGGCGTGAACCACCATGCCCAGCCGAAGATGTTTTAAAAATTAGAACTGTGATGGAACTAGTCTAAAGGTATTTTCTTTAAACTCTTATTAAGTTTTCAAGTCAATTACTAGATAAAAACCTGTTTATTCAGTACTTTTAAATGCAATCTTGGGGCCGGGTGTGGTGGCTCACACCTGTAATCCCAGCACTTTGGGAGGCCAAAGCTGGCTGATCACCTGAGGCCAGGAGTTCAAGACCAGCCTGGCCAACATGGTGAAACCCTGTCTTTACTAAAAAATACAAAAATATTAGCCAGGCGTGGTGGCACGTGCCTGTAGTCCCAGCTACTCAAGAGGCTGGGGCAGGAGAATCGCTTGAACCTGGGAGACAGAGGTTGCAGAGAGCCAAGATCATGCCACTGCGCTCAGCCTGGGTGACAGAGTGACAGTGTCTAAACAAACAAACAAACAAACAAACAAATGCAATGCAATGTTGGATTTAATTAGGTTATTAACATTTTTTCCATCTGTGTTTATAAATAAAATGGATTTCCCTTTTCCTTTTCTTGTACTACCCTTTTCACTTTTAGAATCAAGGTTATACTAACATCATTAAGTTAGTTGGGTAGTATTTAATCTTTTTCTATCTCCTTTAGCTATTTGTGTAATACAAGTAATCTCTTCTTTTGGTAGAATTTAGCCATACAGATTGAATATCCCTTCACTGAAATGCTTGAGACCAGAAGTGTTTTGGTTTTTTTCAGATTTTGGAATATTTGCAAATATATAATGAAATATCTTGGGGATGAGAACCAAGTCTAAATATGAAATTCATTTATCTTTCATATGCACCTTACGCTCATAGCCTAGAGGTCATTTTATCCAATATTTGTAATAATTCTGTGCATGAAATAGTTTATATACGAGGAGCCACTGGAAAGCAAAGGTGTCACTAACTCAGCCACCCATGTGGACAATCTGTGGTTGTTTGGCATCACCATTATTCCTGACTCTGAATTCATGTACTACTGATAAGCAATCATTTTCTTACACTTACACATGTACTTAACAGTTAAAAATATGATATGCCATTAATACAGTTAAAAAAAATAATGTGTTCAGGTAACTAAGAAGCACAGTAGCATCACCAGAATACCTGTCTCAGCTGTTAGACAGCAACAGACAACGGCAGGCTTTCCGTCTCTACCATGCTGTGTTTTGATGGAAAGGTAACTGTCCACTGTATTTTTTGTTTTCAGGTGAGAAGAAACATGAAAAGCAATTGAGGGACCAGGAACTGGGTCCTTTAGGGATGAGGAGGCATTCTGTTGGATGGTTTTGCAAAATGTTGCCTCTAGAGTCATCTGCCTCATTAACAATGGCTTTTTTTCCTTCAACTTTTAAGCTCAGGGGTACATGTGTAGGATGTGTAGGTTTGTTAGACAGGTTAATGTGTACCATGGTGGTTTGCTGCACAGATCATCCAATCACCTAGGTATTAAGCCCAGCGCCCATTAGCTATTCTTCCAGTGATGCTCTCCCTCATCCCCCAACAGGCCCCAGTGTGTGTAGTTCCCCACCAAGTATCCATGTGTTCCCATTGTTCAGCTCCCACTTATAAGTGAGGCCACGTGGTACTTGGCTTTCTGTTCCTACATTAGTTTGCCAAGGATAACAGCCTCCAGCTCCATCCATGTCCCTGCAAAGGACATGATCTCGTTCCTTTTTATGGCTGCACAGTATTCCATGGTGTGTATGTATGACATTTTCTTTATTCAATCTATCACTGGTGGGCATTTGGGTTGATTCCATGTCTTTGCTATTGTGAATAGTGCTGCAATGAACAAACACATGCATGTATCTTTATAAGAGGACGATTTATATTCCTTTGGGTATATACCCAATAATGGGATTGCTGGGTCAAATGGTATTTCTGCCTCTAGATCTTTGAGAAAGCACCACACTGTTCTCCACAATGGTTGAACTAATTTGCACTCCCACCAATGGTGGAAAAGCATTCTTTTTTCTCTGCAACCTTGCCAGCATCTGTTGTTTTTTTGACTTTTTAATAATCACCATTCTGACTGGCATGAGATGGTATCTCACTGTGGTTTTGATTTGCATTTTTCTAATGATCAGTGATGTTGAGCTTTTTTTCACGTTTGTTAACCACATGTACGTCTTCTTTTGAGAAGAGTCTGTTCATGTCCTTTGTCCACTTTTTAATGGGGTTGTTTTTTTTTTTGTCTTGTAAATTTGTTTAGGTTCCTTATAGACTCTGGATATTAGACCTTTGTCAGGAAGATAGATTGTAAACATTTTCTCCCATTTTGTAGGTTGTCTGTTCACTCTGATGATAGTTTCTTTTGCTGTGCAGAAGCTCTTTAGTTTGATTGCATCCCATTTGTCAATTTTTGCTTTCATTGCTATTGCTTTTGGTGTTTTTGTCATGAAATCTTTGCCAGTGCCTATGTCCTGAATGGTATTGCCTAGATTTTCTTCTAGGGTTTTTATAGTTTTGGGTTTTACATTTAAGTCTTTAATCCATCTCGAGTTAATTTTTGTATAAGGTACAAAGAAGGGGTCCAGTTTCAATTTTCTGCATATGACTAGCCAGTTCTCCCAGCACCGTTTATTAAATAGGGAATCCTTTCCCCATTGCTTGCTTTTGTCAGGTTTGTTGAAGATCAGATTGTTGTAGGTGTGCAGTCTTAATTTCTGAGTTCTCTATTCAATTCCATTGGTCTATGTGTCTGCTTTTTGTACCAGTGCCATGCTGTTTTGGTTATGGTAGCCCTGTAACACAGTTTGAAGTCAGGTAGCATGATGCCTCTAGCTTTGATCTTTTTGCTTAGGACTGTCTTGGCTATTCGGCTCTTTTTCAATTCCATATGAATTTTAAAATAGTTTTTTCCAATTCTGTGAAGAATGTCAATGGTAGTCTAACGGGGATAGCATTGAATCTATAAATTACTTTGGGCAGTAGTTTATTGAGAGCTTTTACCATGAAGCGATGTCGAATTTTATCAAAGGCCTTTTCTGCATCTATTGAGATCATGTGGTTTTTGTCTGTAGTTCTGTTTATGTGATGAATCACGTTTATTGATTTGCGAATGTTGAACCAACCTTGCATCCTGGGGATGAAACCCACTTGATGGTGGTGGATAAGCTTTTTGATATGCTGCTAGATTCAGTCTGCCAGTATTTTACTAAGGATTTTTGTATCTATGTTCACCATGGATATTGGCCTGAAGTTTTCTTTTTTTGTTGTATCTCTGCCAGGTTTTGGTATCAGGATGATGCTGGTCTCACACAATCAGTTAGGGAGGAGTCCCTCTTTTTCAATTTTTTGGAACAGTTTCAGTAGAAATGGTACCTACCCGCTCTTTGTACCTCTGGCAGAATTCAGCTGTAAATCTGTCTGGTCCTGGGTTTTTTGTGGTTGGTAGGCTATTTACTACTACCTCAATTTTAGAACTCATTATTGGTCTACTAAGGGATTCGATTTCTTCTTGGTTCAGTCTTGGGAAGGTGTATGCGTCCAGGAGTTTATCCATGTTTTTCTAGATTTTCTAGTTTATGTGCATAGAGGTATTCATAGTATTCTCTGATGGTTGTATGTATTTCTGTGGGGTCAGTGGTGATATCCCACTTATCATTTCTGATTGTGTTATTTGATTCTTCTCTCTTTTCTATTAGTCTAGCTAGTAGATCATCTTATTAATTTTTTTCAAAAAAACAGCTCCTGAATTTGTTGATTTTTTGAAGGGTTTGTGTGTGTGTGTGTGTGTCTGTATCTCCTTCAGTTCCACTCTGATCTTGGCTATTTCTTGCCTTGGGGTTTGTTTGGTCTGGTTTTCTAGTTCTTTTAGTTGTGATGTTAGGTTGATACCTTGAGATCTTTCTAGCTTATTGATCTGGGCATTTAGTGCTACAAATTTCCCTCTTAACACTGCTTTAGCTGTGTCCCAGAGATTCTGGTACACTGTCTCTTTGTTCTCATTAATTTCATACAACTTCTTGACTTCTGCCTTAATTTCGTTATTTATCCACAAGTAATTCAGGAGCAGGCTGTTCAATTTCTATGTACTTGTGTGGTTTTGAGTGAATTTCTTAATCTTGAGTTCTAATTTGGTTGCACCGTTGTCTGAGAGATGGTTTCTTATGATTTCGGTTCTTTTGCATTTGCTAAGGAGTGTTTTACTTCTGATTATGTGAACAAGTTTTGAGTAAGTGCTGTAGGGTGAGAAGAAGAATGAATATTCTGTTGTTTTTTGGTGGAGAGTTCTGTAGATATCTATCAGGTCCGCTTGATCCAGAGCTGAGTTAACTCTTCTTGTTGAATTGAACCCTTTACCATTATATAATGCCCTTCTTTGTCTTTTTTTGATCTTTGCTGGTGTAAAGTCTGTTTTGTCAGAACTAGGATTGCAACCCTTGCTTTTTTCTGTTTTCCATTTGCTTGGTAAATTTTCCTCCATCTCTTTATTTTGAGCCTAAGTGTGTCTTTGCATGTGAGATGGGTCTCTTGAAGACAGCACACCAATGGGGGTTGGCTCTTTATCCAGTTTGCCATTTTGTGTCTTTCAATTGGTGCATTTAGCCCGTTTACATTTAAGGCTAGTATTGTTATGTGTGAATTTGATTCTGTCATCATGATGCTAACTGGTTATTTTGCAGACTTGTTTATGTGGTTGCTTCATACTGTCACTGGTCTGTGTACTTCAGTGTGTTTTCATAGTGGCTGGTAATGGTTTTTCCTTTCCACATTTAGTGCTTCCTTCAGGAGCTTTTGCATGGTAGGCCTGGTATTGACGAATTCCCTCAACATTTGCTTGTCTGAAAAGGATCTTATTTCTCTTTTGTTTATGAAGGTTAGTTTGGCTGAAAATGAAATTCTGGGTTGGAAATTCTTTTCTTTAAGAATTTTAAATATTGGCCCCCAATCTCTTCTGGCTTGTAGGGTTTCTGCTGAGAAGTCTGCTGTTAGTCTCATGGGCTTACCTTTGTAGGTGACCTGGCCTTTCTCTCTGGCTGCCCTTAACACTTATTCTTTCATTTTGACCTGGAATCTGATAAGTATGTGTCTTGGATAATCTTCTCATGGAGTATCCTACTGGGGTTCTCTCCATTTCCTGAATTTGAATGTTGGCCTGTCTTGATAGGTTGGGGTAATTCTACTGGATGATATACTAAAGTATGTTTTCCAACTTGGTTCTGTTCTCCCTGTCTCCTTCAGGTACCCCAGTCAGTTGCAGGTTCCATCTCTTTACATAATCCCACATTTCTTGGAGGTTTTGTTCATTCCTTTTCATTCTTTTTTCTCTATTCTTGTCTGCCTGTCTTATTTCAGAAAGATAGTCTTCAAGGTCTGAGATCCTTTCCTCCACTTGGTCTCTTCTGCTGTTGATACTTGTGATTGCACTGTGAAGTTCTCATGTTATATTTTTCAGCTCCATCAAGTCAGTTATGTTCCTCTCTAAACTGGCTATTCTGGTTATCAGCTCCTGTATTGTTTTATCATGATTCTTAGCTTCTTTGCATTGGGTTACGACATGCTCCTTTATCTCAGCGAAGTTTGTTATTTCCCACCTTCTGAAGCCTACTTCTGTCAACTCAGCCATCTCAGCCTCATCGCAGTTCCGAGGCCTTGCTGGAGAGGTGTTGCATTCACCTGGAGAAGAGGCACTCTGTCTTTTTGAGTTTCAGCGTTTTTGCATTGATTCTTTCTCATCTTTGTGGGCTTATCTACCTTCGACCTTTGAGGCTGCTGACTTCTGAAAAGGTTTCTGTGGGGTCTTTTTTGTTGATGTTGTTGTTGTTTTTTTCTTTTCACGGTCAGGCTACTGACTCTTAGCAACCACAGGGCTGCTGTGGTTTGTTGGGGGTCTGCTCCAGACCTTAGTTGCCTCTGCTTTTCCTGTACTTGGAGGTATCAACAGTGAAGGCTGTGAAGCAGCAAAGATGGCAGCCTGCTCCTTCCTCTGGACACTCCATCCCAGGGTGGGTACTGACCTGCTGCTGGCCCAAATGCTCGTTTCAGAGGTTTCTGGAGACCCTTATTGAAAGGTCTCACCCAGTCAGGAGGAACAGAATTAGGGACCCGCTTAAAGAAGCAGTCTGGCTGTAGAGCAGGTGTGCTCTGTTGGGGAGGACCCTTCCTCATCTGGACTGCCCAGACTCTCTAGAGTAGGCAAGCTGGAACAGCTCAGTTGACTGAACCACAGAGATGGCAGCCTCCCCTCCTTCTGGGAGCTGCATCCCAGGGAGAGATCAGAGCTCTCTGTCCATATAAGCCCGGCTGGAGTGATTGAAGGCCCCCCACAGGGAGGCCCTGCCCAGTGAGGAGGAATGGATCAGGGTCCCACTTTAAAGCAGTTTGGGCACAATCTGGCACAGCAGCTGTGCTGTGTTGGGGGTATCCCTTCCTCATCTGGACCACCCAGACTCTCTGGAGCTGGCAGGCTGGAATGTGCAGTTGACCAAACCACAGAAATGGTAGCCACCCCTCCCACAGGGAACTCCATCCTGTTTCAGGCAGACTCACTGTGTTGCCATTGGCTGGCTGGAATTCCAAGACAGTGGGACTTAACTTGTGAGGTGCTGTGGAAGTGGGGCCTGCAGAACAATGCTGCTTGGCTCCCTGGATTCAGCCCCCTTCCTAGGGGAAGGTACAAAGGGATCTGTCACCTTGCTGGAAATTCCGGGGCCGGAGTATGTAAAACTCTTGTCTCTGTGTGTACCTGTGCTGAGACTCCGCACAGCTCTGTTTATTGGACCCAAGGCCCTGGTAGCGTGGGCTCATGAGGGGATCTCCTGATCCACAAGTTGCAAAGATCTGTGGGAGAAGCATGGTCCTGGGCGGGTCGCACAATCGGTCACCGCTTCCCTTTGCTGGGGGTGGGGGTTCCTTTGGCTCCGTGAGGCTCCTGGGTGGGCCACTGACCCACTCTGCTTTTCTTTATTCTCTCTGGATCAGGGTGATTGTTTAGTCAGTCCCAATGCGAGAACCTGGATATTTCAGTTGAAGGTGCTGAATTCACTTGATGCTTTCATTCCTCTCTGTGCTGTGGACTGCAGCTGCTTCTAATGGGCCCTCTTGGCCCCCATCTCAACAATAGCTCTTATTTTAGCAGTCTCTCTTTGATTTTATAAATAGACATGAGTTGTTCTGTTATGAATGCCTGCTGCTCTAGTTCTTCAATAAGCCCATCACACAATTTTACCCTGTCATCTACAGGCACTTTTTCTGCAGTGTTAACAATATCACTATTACCACAATTACCTTATTCAGAATCATTTTGGCCATTTCACCATTGGTCAATGAATGAACAAGTAGAGCCTTGTTATCAATGTTAGAAACTTCTTTAGTATTCACTTCTTCCAGCTAACTGACAGATTGTGAAGGTCTATTTTTTTGCAAAGGTAAGGAGTTCAGCCATCATTTTTTTTTCTCACTTGACATATATAATCCTTCAAAGTCACCATCTGGTGACTTCATTACCAGTCGACATAGTTGTAGGCCAGAGTTGTGCCAGTCATGCACACCTGTTTCAAGCAATGGCAACAGCATATAGAGCATCCTCAGGCTAAACTCCTTTTGAACACTTTCTCACACCCACACCTCTGCACACTGCTGGTAGCTAGCATGCTATTTAAGAAAAGTGTTTTTTTAATCTACTCTTTATTGATCTAAGGATACTCTGGTCACATGGCTAAATTGATGAAGTCACATTTAGGGGAAAGTACATAGAATAAACATTTTTTTTTTTTTTTTTTTTTTTTGAGACGGAGTCTCGCTCTGTCGCCCAGGCTGGAGTGCAGTGGCGGGATCTCGGCTCACTGCAAGCTCCGCCTCCCGGGTTCACGCCATTCTCCTGCCTCAGCCTCCCGAGTAGCTGGGACTACAGGCGCCCGCCACTACGCCCGGCTAATTTTTTGTATTTTTAGTAGAGACGGGGTTTCACCGTTTTAGCCGGGATGGTCTCGATCTCCTGACCTCGTGATCCGCCCGCCTCGGCCTCCCAAAGTGCTGGGATTACAGGCGTGAGCCACCGCGCCCGGCCAGAATAAACATTTTTTAAATGAGAATTTCAGCTGGGAGATGAGCAGAACAGTTGTCATGTAATAACAAAATCTTTGCAGTCATCATCCAATTGAGTCTCCCTGCAGCAAGCATGAGCCACTTGGTACCAAATGTTTGTGAAACCAATCAAAAAAGATGTCCCTGGTGCTCCAGGTCTTTTTGTTAGCATAATAACAGACTGGTAAGAAATTCACTCCTTGAAAACAGTGAGGACACAAGTTTTTATCTATCACCCCACTTATGTATGCCTGATGCATTAGCACATCCCAGCATATTCTGTTCTTGGCAGCCTTAATTCTAGTAGGTGCTGTCTCATCAGCTGTAGTCAGTGTCTTTCTGAGGCAATGATGCCAAAACAGTGATGTTTCATCAGCATTATAGACTTGTTTTGGCTTCAGATTTTCATTAGCCATGACTCTGGCAAACTCAATGAATTTCTTCACTGCTTTGTGATCAGCAGATGCTTTATCATCACAAATCTTTAAAAATGTAATGCTGTGTCTTTTCTTAAATTTCTGCAACCAGACTATTGATTATTCACAGTTCCTTTTAATTTTCAGTTCATCATTGGCCTTTGTTTCATGGTCAGCATACCACTATGTGCCATGTGTTCACTGTGACGTGGACAGATCCGCACTTTCAATACATGATCAAAATCTTCATGTTTGGCTTTATGCAGTTTTCTAATCTTCACTAACTTCTGTGAATCAGTTTCAGCACAGAACTTCAGCGGTGTATCCTTCTGTTTCTTCAGGTCATATATGGATGTTTCATATACTCCTGTCCAGTTTCTCCAACAGCTTGGCTTTCTGTGCTAGAGGTAAACATAAATGCTTCCTCTTTTTATCAGTTACCCTGAGGGGTATCTGCAGGCCATTTTGTCATTTTCAACAATATCTTTACACCACACAGCAAAGAGAGTAAGCAACCAAACACAGTTGAGTCATGCATGCAGGTCTTGGCTCCATGTGGGGCATTGTGGGAAACCTGCCATCAGCATGCCTGGCCTGCACATATGCCATTTTACTATCCTTTGTGTGTGTGCTTGCTTGCGTGGGGGAAACTGGGTGTATGTGGAAAAGATATATGGCAGCTGAAGGGAGCTGGGAGGGTTTTTTTTTTTTTTTTTTTCTGCTTGAGGATGCTGAGTAAACTGTGTATTGTGTGCCTGCGTTTTGACTGTGACTCGTCACATAAGGTCAAGTATAACATTTTCAACGCATGGTGTCATGCTGGTGCTAAAAAGGTTTTGGATTTCGGAGCATTTCAGATTTTGAAAATTTGGATTAGGGATGCTCAACCTACATTGCTGTATATCTGCCACTCACTTCCACGGTAACATGGAATCTGTGTTCACCCAGAAAGCTAACTGAGCTGAGAAAAAATCTTAAAGGGAGATGTCTTTCATTATTTCAGTTTATTTACTGGTTGATGATTAGTCATCTTTTCTGTTTCTTCTTGTTCAAGTTTTGGCAATTTACACACACTAATTAATTTACTCATTTCTTTTTTTCTTTTTTGAGACAGAGTCTCGCTCTGTCGCCCAGGCTGGAGTGCAGTGGCATGATCTTGGCTCACTGCAACCTCTGCCTCCTGGGTTCAAGCAATTCTCCTGCCTCAGTCTCCTGAGTAGCTGGGACTACAGGCGCCCACCACCATGCCTGGCTAATTTTTTGTATTTTTAGTAGAGACGGGGTTTCACCATGTTAGCCAGGCTGGTCTTGAACTCCTGACCTCAAGTGATCCACCTGCCTCGGCCTCCCAAAGTGCTGGGATTACAGGCGTGAGCCACCGTGCCTGGCCATTATTAACTTTTAAATGGGAAAACTCATCACTATTTCCATACAAATGACTTGCCAATTGACTTTCTGTAACCCACTTATAAGTTTGGATGTATATTCAGTCAAATCCATGTTAACTTGATCGCAGTCCTTGCATTTGTTATTCCTGGTTGTAGCTGTAAACTATCGTGGGCACAGTCGGTCTGAAGAAGAGAATTTTATTTTTGAAAATATAAAATATCTTGACTTCCAGGAGCTTACTAGAGAAATAAAAAATTGTAGCCTGCAGTTTTCAAAACCAATTCATCACAAGATTGAAGGTTATAAATCTAAATAATGGTCAGTATTAGCCCAATAGTGACCAAACAAACAAACATAAAACAAAAATGTAAACAAAACCAAAGCAAAAAACTAAGCAAAACAAAACCCCCAAACAACCAAACAAATGGACTAAGCCATAAGGACCTCTTGTGAACTCTCATATGGATGTCTGGATTTTAGGAACAGGATTATCAGATCAGTGGGAGAAAATGTATAAACATTGGGAAGTAGAATCATTTCAAGTTCATTTTGGGCCTTCAGATATGACTTTAATGCTAATCAACTTACTTTAAACTGAGCCTGCTTAATATATAATGAAACAAATAACTGTCATGTCTTATTGTTTTTATAATTTAGTCAGTATCTTTTTTTCAATATTAAAAATAGTAGGAAGAAGCTGGGCCTGGTGGCTCATGCCTGTAATTCCAGCACTTTGGGAGGCTGAGGCAGGAGGATTGCTTGAGGCCAGGAGTTTGAGACCAGCTGGGCAACATAGTGAGACCCTGTCTCTACAAATGATAAAAAAATTTAGCTGGGTGTTGTGGTATGTGCCTGTGGTTCTAGCTTTTTGGGAGGCTGAGGTGGGAGAGAATCACTTGAACCCTGGTGGTCAAGGCTGCAGTGAGCCATGATTATACCACTGCACTCCAGCCTGGGTGACAAAGCAAGACCTCATCTTGGGAAAAAAAAAAAATAAGGAGGAAGAAAACATGTAATTGTTAGATACAATTGCAATACTCTGTTTATTAGTTATTAAAACATAACTTTTATTAGACTCTCAAAGTGTCCATGACTCAAAGGAATTTAATTACTATTTTCTAATGTTTGTTCTATTATAAACAAATTAAAATTTGTCTTTCATTAATTTGCAGAACATTCTGTTAGACTATTTGCTCTCCTCTGAGAAGAATCCTTCCCCTGTAGCCATCCAAGGAGGAGACTACTGGACACCACTCCTGTATCCTGGGCCAGGAGGGACGTTTGGCACTCTCTGTCTTCCCAGTTGCGCTTCTACACTATTCCGTTTTCCCTCAAATGCATAAGTCCTGCTCTTCTGAGTCACCACCGTCCAGCTCTATCACCCCCCACAGCATTTTCTTTGCTATCACAAGGCCTATTATTCTTTCCTCAACATTTGCTGGAGGCTTTGGAGCCCAGTTCACAGCCTTCTCCACCTCCTATTCATATACCTCATCAAAATGATTACCTCACAGTTCCTAGACTTCCCCACAGTCCCTGACTTTCATCTCTTCCATACATCAGCCACTCACTTCCATGGTCACACAGAGCCTGTGTTCACTCAGAGACATGTTGCCTCTGAAAACATAAACTCAGCAATGTCAGGCTCTGAACATAGTTTCCCGTTCTCCCTGCTCTCCCTCCCTCCCTCCTACCATGTTTCTCTTCAGCCTCATCAAGAACTTTAGTTCCTTTACCTAACCTTCATTCCTTACACCTCAAGTTATCAATTCTCTCCTGTCTTAAATTTCTTATTTAGACTATGGTGCATGAACCATCACATTAAATATTATCTTTCCAGGCTGGGCACTATGGCTCAAGCCTGTAATCCCAGCACTTTGGGAGGCAGAGGAAGGCAGATCACCTGAGGTCAGGAGTTCGAGACCAGCCTGGCCAACATGGTGAAACCCCGTCTCTACTAAAAGTACAAAAAATTAGCTGAGCATGGTGGTTGGCGCCTGTAATCTCAGCTACTTGGGAGGCTGAGGTAGGAGAATCACTTGAACCCAGGAGGCGGAGGTTGCAGTGAGCTGAGATCGTGCCACTGGACTCCACCCTAGGCGACAGAGTGAGACTCTGTCTTAAAAAAAAAAAAATTCCAATAATCTCAACAATCTTGTCAGTCTGGTTTATTTTTCTCTCACCCATCAAAACTGCAATATACGGTTCATTTAACTTTTTTCTTTTCTGATTTTATACTTGTCTACCAAATATTGCTAGGGCGAACAATGCATTTGCAGAAGAACCAATCTGCAAATTATGGCCTCCAATCTCTACAAGGAACTCAATGTTGCTAGTAAACTTGTTGTCTCTTAAACACCAGTGGGGGTTTCAAAGCCTTACACCAGAATCACCCTTGTAAAATTTAATCTGATTATGTTCCACACCTCAGATTTAAACCCTTTCATGACTCTTCATCGCCTTCCGAATGATGTTCAAACATCTTAGTATGGCTCATACAGTCCTCTGTAGCCTGACATTTTCTTTCATTTCCTTCCTTACCACTACTCCCTAATTCTCTATTTTACAACTCTCCTAAACTGCCTATCTCTCCTACTAGACCATTCATTAGCCTCTTGAAAGAACATATCTTATCCATCTTTTCTCCACCTCAGTGCCTTGTATGGTACCTTCCACATGATAGGTCCTATACAAATGTTTACTGACCTGAATTGTACAAATAATATGCTATCAAGTTTCCCTGAAGATTTATCATCTCAGAAGGTACTTGAAAACAAGATGGGGAATCAAATAAAGTCACAAAATATTTCTTAAAATTTTTGTTTTCTTTTAAAACATGAGAATTTCTTGAGAACTAAAATCTCGCTTTATAGATACATCATACTATACTATTTAATGATATATGCTGAGATATAATAAAGAGCATTAATGTTTTCATGTTAATTTGTAAGAACAATCATTGAAAACATGTGACTCTAGATGAGGTCTGATTCCTTAAATGCTGTTTGCTCAGCTTGGGGACAGCATGGCAAAATTTCACTAATTCCGATTTGCTGAGGGAAATGAGAATGCCTGAAGTAGGATGACCTTTAGAATTTGCTCCATAAGGAAAATAAGCAATGAGTGCTACCAAATAGAGATTCTGTATTCTAGCTTTTGTAAGTATGTGAGAATGACTGTTAATTCTCTGGTCAACTGTTTGCAAATAACACTTCTAATTCATATTGCCTTGATCATTAATGAGGTTGAAAAATGTTTTCAAATGTTTATTGGCCTTTAAAAAAAATTTCAACTTTTAGATTCAGAGGGTGGATGTGCAGGTTTGTGACACGGGTATACTGTGTGATGCTAAGGTTTGTGATATGAATAATCCCGTCACCCAGGTAGTAAGCATAGTACATAATAGTTAGTTTTTCATCCCTTTCCCCCTCCTTCTCTCCCTCTTCTTGTAGTCCCCAGTGTCTATTGTTGCCATCTGTATGTCCATGAGTAACCATGGTTTAACTCCCACGTATAAGTGGGAGAATATGTGGTATTTGTTTTTCTGTACCTGCATTAATTCACTTAGGATAATGGCTTCCAGATGCATCCATGTTGCTGCAAAGGACATGATTTTACTCTTTTTTCATGGCTGCATATCATTGCAGGGTGCATATGTACCACATTTTCTTTATCCAATCCACCACGGATGGGCACCCTGGTGGATTCCATGACTTTGCTATTGTGAATAGCATGGTGATGAACATATGAGTGCACGTGTCTTCTTGGTAGAATAATTTATTTTCCTTTGGATATCTACTCAGTAATGGGATTGCTGGGTGGAATGGTAGCTCTGTTTTAAGTTCTCTGAGAAACCTCCAAACTGCCTTCCACAGTGGCTGAACTAATTTATATTCCCACCAATAGTATGTAAGTGTTCCCTTCTCTCCAAAGCCTCACCAGCATCTGTTGTTTTTTGACTTTTTAATAGTAGCCATTCTAAGTGGTATGAGATGGCATCTCACTGTAGTTTTGATTTGATAATTAATGATGATTAGTGATGATGAGCGTTTTTTCATGTTTGTTGGCCACTGGTAATGTCTTTTTTTGAGAAATGTCTGTTCATGTCTTTGGCTCCCTTTTTAAATGGGGTTATTTAGTTTTTGCTTGCTGAATTTTTTAAGTTCCTTACAGATTCTGGATTTAAACCTTTACCAGATACATACTTTGTGAACATTTTCTCCCATTCTGTAGGTTGTCTGTTTACTCTGTTGATAGTTTATTTTGCTGTGCAGAAGCTCTTTAGCTTAATTAGGTCCCAGAATAGACAACCCAGCAATGAAGCTCCACACCTACAGCCATCTGGTCTTTGACAAAGTTGACAAAAATAAGCAATGGGGAAAGGACTCCCTATTCAATAAATGGTGCTGGGATAACTGGCTAGTCATATGCAGAACAAAACTGAACTTCTACCTTTCACTATGTATAAAAATTAATTCAAGATGGATTTAAGATTTAAACGTTAAGACCTCAAAATGTAAGACTCCTAGAAGAAAACCTACGAAACACCATTCTGGACATTGGCCATGGGAAAGAATTTATAACTGTTAGCTATTTCAATGTTATCTTTCGTCTATTAAGTCTCTTGTCCATTTATTTTTCTACTGGGCTGTCCATGTCTTGTTTATGTATTGTTACCTCAACTCTTCTATATTTTCTGGATACCCACGTTTGTTACTTATACATGTTGCAAAAATCTTTTCCCATTCTGTGGTTTGCCTTTTTAATGTCTTAACATGTCTTTTGATAGCATAAGTTATTAATTTAGTCAATTTATCAAATATTTACTTTAAGGCTAGTCCTTTTTGTGTCCATTTTAATGAAGTCTTTCCCTGTTTCAGGTCATGAAGATATTCTTCCATGTAATTGTTTAGCATCTTTATTGTTTTACCTTTCATATTTAGGTTTCATTCCTGTTGGTATTTATTTTTGGGTAAGGTATGCGGTAGTGGGGAAGATCCCAACCCCCGGGTCACAGTACCAGTCCGTGGACTGTTAGGAACCCGCCGCACAGCAGAAAGTGAGCAGTGAGCGAGTATTATTAGTGCTTGAGCTCCACTTCCTGTCAGATCCGCAGTGACATTAGATTCTCATGGGGGCGCAAACCCTATTGTGAACCGCACATGAGGGATCTAGGCTGTGTGCTCCTTATAAGAATCTAATTGATCTAAGATGGAACAGTTTCATCCTGAAACTATCTCTCCCCAGCCTAGTCTGTGAAAAAACTGTCTTCCATGAAACCAGTCCCTGGTGCCAAAAAGGTTGGGGGCCGCTGAGGGAATATGTTTCATTTTTTTCCGATCGATATTAAATAAAGGGCTTTTAAAACTGTTTATTTCAGGCTGGGTGCAGTGGCTCACGCCTGTCCCCAGCACTTTGGGAGACTGAAGTGGGCAGATCACTTGAAGTCAGGAGTTCGAGACCAGCCTGGCTGACATGGTGAAACCCGTCTCTACTATAAATACAGAAATTAGTTGGGAGTGGTGGCACATGCCTGTAATCCCAACTACTCAAGAGGCTGAGGCACGAGAATTACTTGAACCCAGGAGACAGAGGTTGCAGTGAGCCGAGACTGTGCCACTGCACTCCAGCCTGGGCAACAGAATGAGACTCTGTCTCAAAAACAAAAAAAACCCAAAAAAACCCGAAACTTTATTTCAATGACTTTTAACTTTTACTATACAATGTTTAATCTTTTAATTTATATTATATTTAAAAGCTTGCTAAATAAGTAAATTTTATTATTCCATCCTTTTGCTACTAGAGTGACCATTATAACTGAACTAATAAAGCTTAAACTAACATACTTTTACTAACTAGAAATTCTGTCATAATTCTGTATGTAAATTATATAATCTGTCTTTTAGGAACCTATTTATTTCAGCTTGGGTTCTTTGCCACGTAAGGTACACGGTCATTAATTGCTCAGTGCTATCTCAGTTACGATCACATGGCCAATGGACTTGATATTTTCTGGTACTATGTGTATGACCTAATTTTCATGTTTTCCTATTCAATGATTCCTTGTTTGAAATTATAAAGCCAGAGATCTTTATCACAGCATCTAAGCATACAAAAGTAGGAAAAGTATTATTAAAAAAACACATATGTCAAAATTTTAAAAAGCATCCCGTAACTTAAAAGAATAAAGGGAGGCTGAGTGCGGTGGCTCACACCTATAATCCCAGCACTCTGGGAGGCTGAGGCTGGTGGATCACCTGAGGTGAGGAGTTTGAGACCAGCCTGGCCAACATGGTGAAACCTCATCTCTACTAAAAATACAAAAATTAGCTGGGCGTGGTGGCGGGCACCTGTAATCCCAGCTACTTGGGAGGCTGAGGCAGGAGAATTGCTTGAACCCGGGAGGCAGAAGTTGCAGTGAGCCAAGATTGTGCCACTGGATTCCAGCCTGGGCAACAGAGTGAGATTCCGCCTCAAAATAAATACAATACAATACAATACAATACAATACAATAAAATAAAATAAAATAAAATAAAATAAAATAAAGGGGCTTCATATTTGTCCCATGCTGCTAATGATTTTCTCTTATAAATCTCCAATCAAGTCCAATTCTAACAACCTTGGGTATGAATCAGTATCAGTTTAGTGTAAGCTTCCATTTAGGGATGGCCTATTAGGCCCCTTAGGTATGACTTGGGCTCTTTATGGACCTGGTACCTTAAATTTTTCCTAGTACTTTAAATTTCTGTTTTTCATCCCAGTAAGACTATTACCCAACACAGGGATTTGTCTTATTTACTGCTGTGTAACCTACACCATAACTGCTAGTGTCTGTTATGTAATATGCTCAAAAGAATGTTTGTTCAGCAAATGAATGTAGGAACTAGGTAATACACTAATATTGAGAGATTAAGTGGCATAAATATCCCTGTATCCTCAGAAAAATGAAAGCACCCCTGGTCTGGATTCTGTGGGAGGCTCTTGGAATGGAAGAGGCTAAAATCCAAGCTTAAAGGGTTAGCTTATATTGAACTAGACTCAGACCACAGCAAGCTTACACACACACACACACGCACACACAACCCCCCCCCCCCCATTTAATTTTCTTTTATGTTAGCTGGGAATTAAAAAGAGGGCTTCTATAGTTTAGCAAAGTAAGAGAAATGGTTTTGGGAAACCTAGCATAGGAAAATGGGGAATAACGTGATTCATTAGTGTCCCTGTGTCATTAAGGGCTCCCTGGTAGTTCCCAGTTTCTTTCTCAATGTACATTTTGCAGAAAGCCAAACAGATGAAAGTTTGGTTGCATTCTTAACCACAATGCTAAGGTAAGAGAAATATTGGTTTTAGCATTTCACAATTTTATTCAGAGAACAAGCTTCTGTGTAAACACACATATTAAAGAATAAATATGGTTTCTCAAGTAAAACATAAATATTTTTTGCTACTTACAATAGTACTTTTCTCTACAGAGATAATTGGAGACTAGACAGACAATGAGCTATTTGGGGGGAGTTTATTCTAATCGTTTCATGACCAAGGCAAAGAATACAAGCTTAGTTTAAATCATTAAATACTTACAGAATACCTTAATATATAGGAAGGGTATAAAATACATGGGGAAGGGAATAACCTTTTACTATTTTAATTATTTTGACTTTGCTGCTATAAAGTAAGTGCATCTGGAAAGAGGATCAGCTCTTTATTTTGTAGTTGAATTTCTGGGACACAAAAGCACAGATGGCCTTTCCAACTCCATACTGCAGTAGACATCTGCTGTTGTTTTTGCCTTCCCAGCATTTATTCCTCCTTCCTTTGGTAGTAACAGTCTCATTTTCCATTAGGGAGCACTCCTTTACCATTTCAGCCCATGTGGTACAAGTGGCAGTGGCCCTCATCCAATCAAACCCATGCCCTGGAAGTGCACATCTGGGCATATGATCCAGACTTGGCCAATTAGAACATCATAGCCTCATAGACACAGGTATTGGTTCAGAAATGGGCAAGAGGCCCAAGCCAGCCCGTGAGACATATTCTCCAACTTCTTAACAACACTATTGGGAAAATGGTAGTTTGTTTCTTGTGGGGGACACATTGGGCTGATAAAACGTGAGCCTGAAATAATTCATGGCTGTCTTTGTTACCCTATGGAGAGAGCCTTTGAGAACAAACCCAGCAGAGGAAAACCAAGCCCGGAGATGAAGAAAGTCAACTGTAATCACTGGTGCACCTAAGTCCAGTCACGACAGAAAGAAGGCCCACCCTGGAGTTTTCAGTGCCATAAGCCAAAAATTTCCTCTTTTTTGCTTAAACCAGCTTGAGGCAGGATTCTGAGATCTGTAACTGAAAGAGTACTGACTTGACTTGTCAGTCAAGCAGCCTGACTTGACTTTGCATAAGCTGAGACCGAAGCCCTCTGTAATTTCTGAGAATTGTCTTTACTAAAATAAGAAACCTTTTTCTCTTCCCTCACTGTTTCATCTCTGAATTGAATGTAGGTATGTCTACAATATCATTATTTTAAAAAGTAGGAAATCAGGCCCAATACTCACTGGTCCACTTCCGGCCGTGAGGTTCTGCAGAGCTCCTAAGGATGCTTCTTGTGTGTAGTTGCGGACACTTTTGGCGATCAAGGACAGATACATCCTTATAACAATGGAATGCCACAGCCACTCCACGCCCTTGGGGTTGCTCTTTTCCTCCGGCATCGGCACGTCCTGGTATTGCTGACCACACACAAAAGGAATCCAGAATTAATGCATGTCAGGTGATGGCTATAATTTCACACTCAAACCAGGAGACCAGAAATACTGTCTAGAAAGGCTCATAATTTGCATAAGAAGCCCTTGAAATAGAAATTTTAAAAGCAAATATATATAATTTCTAATCACTTAACTTTTAGCCCATAATGATTATTTCTTCCTAATAACACTCCACACCCCTAACTTGATATTTCTCCCAGTGAGAGAAAATTCAGAGAATTAAGCATAGGTCATTCTAGAATGGTTTTCAGGCTGCTGTTGAGCTAAAAGCTAAATTAGTCACAACCACCCTGTAGATAAGAAAAACAGGCCTGTTCCCTCAGAGTCTTGTGAAAGTGTCCAGGATAGCACCAGGGTTCTAAATTTACCAGCTGGTTTCCACAAATACCACGATACTCAGAGAAGGAGGGGAGGTTACATTCTCTTAGTTTTCATATCAGTATGGAAATAAATATGTATTCCTTCCTATGAGGTTTGCTTTTAGTATGTCCAAAGTTTGTTTTTAGAATACCCAAGGCCAAATATCAGGGCCGACTTTAATAAAAACAATTTATATACAATTAGCTATGCTGCATTAAGCTTATTTCCTAACCTATAAGGCATAAAGCAGTACGGTTCATGGGTAGCAATGAAAATCTGGAGCCAGACTGCCTGGCATTGTATTCAATCTCTTCCACTTATTTGCTGAATTATTCCAGGAAAATTAATCTTACTGTGTCTCTGTTTCCTCACTGGTAAATGAGGGTATTAATAATACACACTTCAAAAGGTTGATGTAAGAATTAAAATAACTTAAAATAGTGCCGATATATACCAAGTACTTAGACATACACATATACACAAACACACACTCTCTCTCATTCTCTCCCTTTCTCATTCTTTCAAAAACTTCCCAATATACCTCTTTTACTTTCCTGCTTCGACTGCCAAAACATCCAATACTTTTGTTGTTGTCAGTCTGGATATTCCGGTTTTGAATATAGATATTCTGGGAATATTTCTCTGGGAGCTCTGCCTCCAGCTGGTAGGAGAGGTTATGAAGAATGCACACACAATTCTCCGTGGCCTGAGAAAACAGGACAAGAATATTGATCGTATACATATAGATATCCTTGCAGGTGTGATATCACAGGACACAGGCTTTAGCTCTTACAAGGTTTACCAGATGCAACTGGGTGTGCTTAAACTGCGGGTTGCCTGGGGGAAATGCAATGAGTATGGCTAGAAAAGCTAAGGTTTTCATGAACAGTCAGGAGTACAATGCTAAGAAGTAGAGGCTGAGTCTTTTTAGTTTACTTTCTAAAGAGTGTGTCCAGAACAACTGTATAGCTTAGATACGTAACTTACTAGCCATGTTGAGCTGGAGAAGGGGAGGAGATACTGTTTATAGGGACCAACTAGGAGGCTATTGCAATAATCGGCATGAAAGATGCACAATGTAGGAAAACATTAGAAGCATTAGAGGGAAGTGTAAGAACTGAAAGCCTTTTCAGAGGTAGACAGCACACAATTACTCAGATTTCCATCTTCTTTTGGTGGATGGTGATGATTATTAAGAAGGATTATAGTCCAGGTGCTGTGGCTCACGCCTGTAATCCCAGCACTTTGGGAGGCTGAGGTGATGGATCACCTGAGGTCAGGAGTTCAAGACCAGGCTGGCCAACATGGCAAAACCCTGTCTCTACTAAAAATACAAAAAAAATTAGCTGGGCATGGTGGCGTACACCTGTAATCCCAGTTATTTGGGAAGCTGAGGCAGGAGAATTGCTTGAACCCAGGAGGCAGTGGTTGCAGTGAGCTGAGATCGCACCACTGCACTCCAGCCTGGGCTGGGTGATGAAGCTAGACTCTGCCTCCAAAAAAAAAAAAAAAAAAAGGATTATAAAAAGAAGGAACAAGTTTGGGAATGAAAAAAGAGATACATTAAAATTCATTGCTGACCATGTAGCATTTGGGCTCCTTTCAAATATCCACATAGTGTGGTTAGACAGACAGACATTGGAGCCTGGAAAATAGAAAAATAAGGCAATAGGTTTTAATATTTCTTTTTTTTTTTTTTGAGACAGAGTCTTGCTCTGTCGCCCACGCTGGAGTGCAGTGGCGCAATCTCTGCTCACTGCAAGCTCTGGGGTTCATGCCATTCTCCTGCCTCAGCCTCCTGAGTAGCTGGAACTACAGGTGCCCGCCACCACGCCCGGCTATATTTTTTGTATTTTTAGTAGAGACGGGGTTTCACCATGTTATCCAGGATGGTCTCAATCTCCTGACCTCGTGATCTGCCTGCCTCAGCCTCCCAAAGTGCTGGGATTACAGGCGTGAGCCACCATGCCTGGCCTAGGTTTTAATATTTCTAAGGATGAATGGAAGATCTTAGGCTCAGTAAATGAATCAGTGAATAAACCTAAAACCAAGCGGCTATCTTAAGAATATTCTGAAGCATCTTAGTAAGACAAAACAGGATATTTATCTCTTGAATTACCTTGTCATCTGGCTGGTAATCTGCAATGGTTCCTCTGACATAATGGACCAGTGAGTCAATGAGTCCGTCACATCTTCTCATCGCTTTTCTCCCATCAGCGCCAGCAGAACTCATGTTTCTATCAGAAAAAACAAAAAACAAAAAAGTAAGTCTAGGCTGTGTATCCAACAGGTCTTTGTTTTGAAGTTTTACTTGATGCTTCTTCCAGGTGTTTGGAAACTGGCAAATTTGTAAAAGTGTGGCAGACTTGCCCAGTCAACAAATCATTGACTGCTTAATAGATCAACTATGAACATACTTTCTAAATATTTCCAAACAACACGTAATTGTGTCATAAGTCTTCTACTTCACTCCAAGTACCATGATCAAAACATTATTTACTTAATCTTCACTCCATTTTGAGTGTGGATATGAGGCAAATGTTTTTGCAACTAGAACAAGAGCAAATGGCACATTAGACATTATAATATACTGGATGCCAAGTCCCAATTTGCCCCATGTTTTAACTTTAAGTAACTTAAAGTTGCTCTGGGCCTCAGTTTCCTCACTTGTAAAGACAGTGTGTTGGACTACATTCTTTGTGGTTTTCTAAATTTCAGTATAAACTGTTATTGACAAATATTAAATCAGATGCTCTAAAATGCGATTATTTTATCATTAAAATGGCAGAGAGATGTTACAGAAAACATGAGAGTTTGCAGTGTGTAAGGCTTCAGTCAAAAGTATGACCTATAAATATCTTTACACTTAGTCTATTTCTAATATTGCTAAGTCATGACACCTTTCTATAAACAGTAACTAAACCTATAATTGGAAGTTGTTTACTGATAGAGAAATGAAACTTATCAAATACAGGAAAGTAATGCATTTGGGGATTACAGTGCAGATTCAGATCATGTGTATAGTCTGGTATTATTGTTACTACCTTCCTTTAGATTAAGTTTTTCTTACTAGCATTAACTACTTAAAAAAATATTTTTTTTTCCAAAAATGTCAATACCTCAGTCAACAAGAATGACAAAAAATAGGGCCTTCAGGTTTTAAGAACTTGAGAATCACCTCTATTCCCAACTTTAATTGCTAAGAACTGTCCCTATAAAATGTATCAGATCAGTTTCTTTTTTTTTTTTTTTTTTTTTTTTGAGACGGAGTCTCACTCTGTCACCAGGGCTGGAGTGCAGTGGCGCGATCTCGGCTCACTGTAACCTCCACCTCCCGGGTTCAAGCGATTCTCCTGCCTCAGCCTCCCGAGTAGCTGGGACTACAGGCGTGCGTCACTATGCCCAGCTAATTTTTGTATTTTTAGTAGAGACGGGGTTTCACCATGTTGGTTGGCCAGGATGGTCTCTATCTCTTGACCTTGTGAACCGCCCGCCTTGGCCTCCCAAAGTGCTGGGATTACAGGCGTGAGCTACCACGCCTGGCCCAGATCAGTTTCTTTTACTGGTAGGTAGAATATCCAGAATATGTTCAGGACTTTTTCTTTATAATGTGTTAGTGTCATTCTGAACATCAAAAAGAACTGCAACTTTGAGACATTTTTGAGCCTTACTTTCTTCATCTTTAAAATAATATAGGCCAGAAGCTGTGGCTCATGCCTGTAATCCCAGCATTCTGGGAGGCTAAGGCAGGAGGACTGCTTGAGCCCAGGAGTTTAAGACCAGCCTGGGCAACATGGCTAAACCCTGTCTCTATGAAAAAATACAAAAAATTAGCTACGCATGGTGGCATGTGCCTGTAGTCCCAGCTACCTGGGAGACTGAGGAAGAAGATTGCTTGAGCCTGGAGGTTGAGGCTGCAGTGAGCATTACTACACTCCAGCCTGGGTGACAGAGTAAGACCCTGTCTAAAAAATTAACAAAATAAAGTAATATAATATAAGTGATTTCCAAAAGGCCTTCTGCCTCAAAATACTGCTTTCAGTGCATATTTGTCAAAGAAACAAAGGTGCCTAAGCATTACATCAAGAACTAAAGGTGGCTGGGTGTGGTGGCTTACACCTGTAATTCCAGCACTTTGGGAGGCCGAGGCAGGCGGATCATGAGGTCAGGAGATCAAGACCATCTGGCTAACATGGTGAAAACCCGTCTCTACTAAAAGTACCAAACAAAATTAGCCAGGCATGGTGGTGGGCGCCTGTATTCCCAGCTACTCGGGAAGCTGAGGCAGGAGAATGGTGTGAACTCGGAAGGTGGAGCTTGCAGTGAGCCGAGATCGTGCCACTGCACTCCAGCCCGGGTGACAAAGCTAGACACCGTCTCAAAAAAAAAAAAAAAAAAAAGAACTAAAGGGAATGAGAGGAAGATGCACAATATTATACCTTGCTTTCACAGAGATCATATCTATAGGTTGAACTCTGGAAACTGACAAAACCCGACTGTTTTAACCCTCAAAAATGGCAATTTCATGATTCAACGTGACAGTTGAGGAGATAACATACCTAAAACTAAGAATATACTAACAATTTAATGGTTGCTGAATTGATACAATGAATTTTTTAACAAAATCTCTTCTGTGACTGATTCTCATTTGACCCTTCTACTTCCTTATTAATTTTTACTGTACCTGAAAAACTCGGACAGTTTGTTCATTTAAAAAAAAATGAATGGGTTCATAAGCTGGAAATAAAACAATTTTTTACTTAGCTTTTTTCAAAGAATGATCATTTCAACCAAGATCCTCTATCTACTTTGTGAGCCCTTTAAGAATCATGGGGATTCAGAAGCTTGACAGAAACTGAAAAAGCATCTTTTCCAGTCTCCTTATTTTATACATGAAAAACTAGAAGCCAAAAGTTTCCGTTACTTTTCCTGGTGACAGCAAATTAGTGGTAAAGTCAGGAAAAGAGGGCTGTTCTTTATTCTACACCCAGGGTGGCCCAGAACAGAGCAAATCCCAGCTAGCATTCATTCAGTCTGCAAATACCATATGTCCCCAACTACATGATGTTATCATATGTTTAAAAGCTTCCCTTTGGCCTTTTCAACCTCTGGCCAGGATAAATGGCAGTAGTTTAAAATTGCTTTGACAAATCAAAAAGTCTTTCTTCCTGGCTAAGCCCACTACATACCTTGCAGATGGATGACTTAGCTTTGTTTAACTCCGGGGTGTTTATTTCGGGTTAGAATGGTAAGTCAAGTTGGCAGTACTGCCAGTTCACAAGTACTAACTGTTGTCTTGCTGTTTGGTATTATCCAGACTCTACTTGCTTGAAATGGGACTTATCAGGGGTTTCTGGCAGTTGATACTTTTGCTGACAGAAAGTGCATGGAACCCCATTGCTTTAGTATTTGCTCCTGCATATCAAAAATAGTTCCCACCTTACTCAACTACACAGAAATATGAATGATAAGGGTAGATTATTTTATACCACTGCATCCATGAATAGAAGTCATTAGACAGAAAGTAATTTGTTATTGCACCATTCCGAAAATAACCAATAACTATAGAAAATGATACATCCATCTTAAAATATTTTTTTTTAACAGCTAGTACTTAAGCTTGTGGGAATCAGAAAATTAACATGGCTACCTTTAGGCAGAATTGATCTTTTTTACAACGTATCTCTTGAATCATAAGAACTATTTATTGATTGGTTTCCCATACATTACCCAATGGTGGCTCAATAGAAAAATATCTCAAAACTGTAAGTGAAATATACTGAAACAATTACCTTATCGAAAATTAAAAGAGAATGAGCATACAAACATGGTAGTTACTTAATAAATAGTGCTTATTAAAGTTACCAATAGAATATATTAAAAACGTGTAATTTAGTGCCTGTCGTTTGCATTTGATTAAACGATGGGTTTATTTCCTCTGGTATAATCAAGCCTAAGTCTGAGTAAATATCTGCAGACCTTTAAGAAAACTAAAACTGCATACTGTTATATACTGAAATTTAAAAACAGGTCCTTAGGGGTTGAAGGCAAGGGGCCAGGGCCTTAGGAGAAGTAGAGTGAGGAAGGAGACAAATTACTCTTCACATAAAGGCAGGAATTATTTGGAGTTCTTCACCTCCACTGGTCCCAAATGGGAAGACGCCAGTTTGACTTGTGGCCAGTGCTTGATATCGGGAAGAATCTCTCTAGCAATGTGACTTGTAATGGGGGAAGAAATAGAATCTGGACCTCTGTGTGTCTCTGAAATGGTCACGGAGCTTCACATATTTAGGGGGATTCAGGTGTTTTATCAGAAAGCAAATCTGTGACTTTTCACTCCCTCTAGGACCTCTTATCTCACACATTCCTGAGTGTCACAATGAAAAAGAGAAAAGAAAACACAACACCCTGGACCTTGATAGAATTAAAAGAAAGAATGGTATGTTAATGGTTGAGATTAATGACAGTGTGAGTAAATCTTAGATTCATATGGTAAACCAAAGAATGGACAGTGACAAATGGAAAAAAACAGCTGCAATTTAGTGTTTGCACTAGACATTATGGTAGGCAACTTATAAATAGCATGATCTGTAATTTTCACAAAATTCCTGAAATTAGGGTACCCTAGAATTTCATTCTGGGAAATTCTGACCTGTGATTCTCATTTAAAATCAGAATTAACTGCTCTAACAGGATTGTTACAGGCTCTTCCACATAAGGTAGGATATAAAGTAGTTTGTCTGTGGCTATGTGCAGGGGTGCTGTCAAATATGCTTAATTGACCAGTGCTGAAAGGAAGTTTGTTACAACACAGAACATCCAAGCTTAGTGTACAGTGTGTGGTCAGCTGGCCTGGGGAAACAATGAGCTGAAGGAGATGGTTAAAGTAAAAGGCTACAGTTAGTTTCCAGGACATGAGAATGGCCGGGAACAATAACGTCTGAGTGCATCTTTTCAAGACACTTCACCACCATACAAAATAAATAACTTTAGGAGGCAGAAATTTTTTTTTGTTTTGTTTTGTTTTTTTGAGATAGTCTCACTCTATCGTCCAGGCTGTAGTGCAGTGGCATGATCATACCTCACTGCAGCCTCAACTTTCCAGGCTCAAGCAGTGCACCTATCTCAGCCATCTGAGTAGGTGCGACTATAGGCATGCACTGCCGAGCCCAGCTAATTTATTTTTTGTACAGACAGAGTCTATGTTGCCCAGGCTGGTCTTGAACTCTTCGCCTCATGTGATCCTCCAGCCTGGCCCCCAAAGTGCTGGGATTACAGGTGTAAGCCCCTGTGCCTGGCCCAGAAATTTCTTTATTTTTTATTTATTTTTTCTTATTTTTTTTTTTTGAGATAGAGTCTCACTCTGTTGCCCAGGCTGGAGTGTGGTGGCACAATCACAGCTCACTGCAGCCTTAACCTCCTCGGCTCAAGGGATCTTCCCACCTCAGCCTCCTGAGTAGCTGGGACTACAGGCGCATGTCACCATGCTCAGTGGATTTATTTTTTGTAGAGACAGGGTCTCATGGCATTGCCCAGGCTGGTTTCAAACTCCTGGTTTCTAGCAATCCTTCTGCAAAGTGCTGGGATTACAGACGTGAGCCACCGTGACCAGCCAAAATTTTGTTTTTTAAATGGGACTATTGCTACTTGATAATGGGTATGGTTTTTTAACTAACACACAGTTTATGTGCATGTATTGTATACAAGGCCTGGTGGCTGTGGGACCAGTCTTTTATTTTATTTTATTTTTTTTGAGATGGAGTCTCACTGTGTTGCCCAGGCTGGAGTGCAGTGGCGAAATCTTGGCTCACTGCAACCTCCGCTGCCCAAGTTCAACGGGTTCTCCTTCCTCAGCCTCCTGAGTAGCTGGGATCACAAGTGTGTGCCACTGCGCCCAGCTAATTTTTGTATTTTTAGTAGAGACAGGGTTTCACCATGTTGGCCAGGCTACTCTCGAACTCCTGACCTCAGGTGATCCGCCTGCCTCAGCCTCCCAAAGTGCTGGGATTACAGGCGTAAACCACTGTACCTGGCCTGGGACCAGTCTTGAAGTTCTAATCAGCACTCTGAGATAGTGATCACCTCAATGGTTTTAAAAAATTATGCACGCATCACCAACAAGTATAGACTTCCTAATACTGTGTAATGTAAATTATATGGTAAGACTCTAAGTGGTACCAGTCAGATAAACACTTGGTAGGCAAAGTTAGAGTCTATTCCAAGACTAAGTAGGTACTTGATGAGACATCGGCTGACATGGAAGCATCCTTCTTCCTCTTGTTATTTGAGATTTAGGCTTGGGCTTTTGTTTAACTCCCACCTGATACATATCAAACAGTTGGGCCTTGTCTGTGATTAACTAAGAGAAGCAGTACAGTCAGCTTGTGGTTGCACACAACAAAAGGGGAGCCTCATTTGAACTGGCAGAGGAAGAAAAACTCGATGCCAAAAGAAGGCTTGTCTGTTATTCTGAAGTCAACATTATTTCCTGAAGGTATCAGCAAACATCAGCCAAAGTCAGCTGTTCATTCTGCAAATAGAGAACATTGGGAGGTAGAACAAGGCCCTACAACCTACACATCTTGGTCCTACGGGGATAAGAAAAATTAATGGAAAAAAGCTATGTTGTCATCTGTTCCACACCAAGAAACTAGAAGGTGGTAGAGGAGAAAATCTATCCTTAAAAATCCTTTAGCTCTGGCCAGGCACGGTGGCTCATGCCTGTAATCCCAGCACTTTGGGAGACCGAGGTGGGCAGATCACCTGAGGTCAGGAGTTCAAGACCGCCTGGCCAACATGGTGAAACCCTGTCTCTATTAAAAATAAAAAAATTAGCTGGGTGTAGTAGCGCATGCCTGTAATCCCAGCTACTTGGGAGGCTGAGGCAGGAGAATCACTTGAACCTGGGAGGCAGAGGTTGCAGTGAGCCGAGATAGTGCCACTGCACTCCAGCCTAGGCAACAGAGTGAGACTGCATCTAAAAAAAAAAAAAAAATCCTTTAGCTCTGCTTTCCTGCATTTTCAGGTTTTCCAAAAGCATTCTGAATAGTTAATTCAGCCAGTAATCATCTGGCTGGTAGGCTACATTAATTTCCTCTCAATTAGCTAGAATATGTTAGGTAGGACAGAATCCCAAATTCCATTTAAAATTAATTATAAACAGCAAACTATAATTTTAAAAATATACCTAAGAGCTATTGCAACTTGAATAAGCATTCTTGACATGTAAAGGAGATGTTTGGAATGTCAGACCAGGAATAAGAAAGATGTTTAAGACCTAGAGTAGAATAATATGATGCTCAATCCATACCTCCAAGATAGGCACAGATTTTAACCACACAATAGTGACAAAATCATCAGTTGCTTTATCCTGATGTATCAGCCCACTCACTTTTTATAATAATGAATAAAAAAAATTTTAGCAGTCATTTTGATTATGATGATAGTCTTAAATTTTTTGGAATAAGACCTTGTGTCACAAAATACAGTTCATAAAACACCAATTTGAGCTATACACAGATATTTTTCTTTAAACATGAAGATGGTATTAAAAGTATCTGAGAAAGACATTCTTGTGAATTCTTTTTTCTGCCCAAGACTCAACTCATAAGCTAACCGATTAAGAAAGCCCAGCAAAAAGAGTCCACTTGATATAATGAGTAAAAATTAATCTTTTGTTTCCTTTCCTGATTTTTATTCCTCTGTATTGTTCCTATTCATGTATTTTCAGGCAGTCAATATTTATGCACTGATTGATAAGAATAAAGAGTCTCTTTAGCAAAGAGAAGTGTTACATAATTTCTGTAAAGTACAACTTTTAATCTGGACCAATCTGGTAAAGATATGAATAGGACAGTGGAAAATGATAGTCTGAAGAACAGGGACCTTTGTAAGGTGGTCAACTGGTTGTAGATGGGCTGCTTCAGCATCTCAGTGAGACATGTACTCTTAAAAACACTGGGTTCAGGAAGAACATGGGTGACCAGGCAAGCATAGCCATATTTGTTTTGATTTTATTTGTTTGCTTTAACAACTTAAGAACTGTTGAGAGATTTCAAAATAATGGCCTAAAACCCTGAAGCTTAGTTCATAAAACAATCATTTTTAAAAATCAGGATCTTATTTACCCATTTAAATACCACTTCCACCTTTTAAATTTACTTAAAGAAAAAGCTGGCCAGGCGGGGTGGCTCCTGTAATCCCAGCACCTTGGGAGGCCAAGGCAGGCAGATCACGAGATCAGAAGATTGAGACTATCCTGGCCAACATGGTGAAACCCCGTCTCTACTAAAAATACAAAAAATTAGCTGGGCGTGGTGGTGCGCACCTGTAGTCCCAGCTACTCAGGAGGCTGAGGCAGGAGAATTACTTGAACCTGGGAAGCGGAGGTTGCAGTGAGCCAAGATTGTGCCACTGCACTCCAGCCTGGTGACAGAATGAGAGTCTGTCTCAAAAAAAGAAAAAAAAAAAATTTACAAAGTAATTTAATTAATTAAACCATGTACTTGTTTGTATATCTAAAGTAACCAACAGAAAATATGGTTATGACTGGTTATGATAGTATAACATTAGAAATATTGCCAATTCCATTATTTATTAACTTCATATTGCTTATGTTTACACATGAAACATAAAGAGTTTAAATAATTAGCCAAATAACTGAGGCTGAAGTTGATGATTCAGTTGTCTTTCTATTTTTGGGAAAGCCAATCTCTGGGGTGAACTATCTAGATACTTTCATCAAGTTTCCATTTTGTTTGCACTATCTCATCTAGCATTACTCTTCTAGTTTTATGGTAAATTCTTCTCCAGAAGTAAATGCATTTAGATTCTGATTTTCAATAGTAAGTTCTGGCCTCTTTTGGGGTCTACATCTTACAAAAAAGAAAAATAGCTATTTGATAGTCAAGAAAATTAGACCCTGATTTAATTATCTTCTTAATTATCTGGGACTATGCACAAGGCTAGATCAAATAAGTCATGAGTATTCAGAATAAGATATGGATGAGCAAAGGTAACTAGAATGAAAATGCATACAGGCCAGGCACGCTGGCTCACACCTGTAGTCCCAGCACTTTGGGAGGCCAGGCAGGCAGATCATGAGGTCAGGAGTTTGAGACCAGCCTGGCCAATATGGTGAAACCCCGTCTCTACTAAAAATATGAAAACCAGCTGGGCGAGGTGCCGTGCACCTGTAGTCCCAGCTACTCGGGAGGCTGAGACAGGAGAATTGCTTGAACCTGGCAGGCAGAGGTTGCAGTGACCTGAGATCATGCCACTGCACTCCAGCCAGGGTGACAGAGCAAGACTCTGTCTCAAAAAATAAACAAATAAATAATACAAAAAGAAAGAAAAGAAAATGCATAATCATGAAAATGTAGATGCAGTAAATTTCTAAAGTTTGGTACCAAGATACGCATTAAAAATTATATTTGGTATGTGGTTTTTTTGGTGTGTATGTGCTGGAGAAGACAGTTGTAACTGAATGCATTAAAAATGTACATGGAGACATTCATTTTCCAGAGAGTAGCTCATATTGATATTCCAAAACAACTTGCCCTTAACTCTGTGACTAATTAGAAACAAGACTGATAGTTATAGCCTTTCTTTCCAAAGGTATGGTTTGCTTCCTCTGACAACTCCCCACTCCAGCTAGATTTCCAGTGTAAGAGACAATGAAAATTTCTTTTAAGAATTTAAATAATTTTAAGTAATAAAATTTAATATATAAAAGGATATTATACATTCAAAACACATTTACTATACGATGACAGGTGGGAAAAAGTGAAGTTTATGCCATTTGTAGGAGAAATGCATTACAAATTGCTTTTCTTCTTTAACCAGCATACACAGGCATAAAATGCATTGAGAAAAAAGAATATGTTTTAAAATGTGTAATGACAAATTCTGGGGAGGCCTTCACAAAGCAGACTGCACCTTTATCTTAAGGTGGCAATTTTATAAGCCTGTCTCGTAAGTGGACGGTCAAGAAACTATAGTAACTCAGGAAAGTGACTTTTTAGGGCTTTATGAATTCACATTTTTAATATGACTACAGTATTTAAGAACGTTGGTGATGACCTAATGATAGAATGATGAACTAAAGACTGAGAGGGACATTTAAACACCTACTCATCCTTTAACAGCTCTTTAAGTTTGACTTTCTCCAGAAAAAATTCCCAACTCCCAAGGCAAAGTTAGTGAAGCAACTTTCATCCCTCTCTTAAATCTCTTACCAAATGCATTGTCATGATCTCTTCAGGTGCCAGTTTCCTCCACGAAACCCAGAGTTCCTCCAGGGCAAAAATAGGTCCCATTCCCTTTTGAAATCTCAGAAATTTAAATAGTGGTTTGGATAGAGCAGGCCTTCAACAAGTACTCAAGGAATAACAATAGGGTTGGATAAGAGGGAGAATAAAGGCAGACCAGTGGCAGAATACCAAGAAGGCTGGACTAGCTAGCTGTCATTCTCAAATTTCTGATAGCTGGTTCTACAATTGCGGAAGAGTCTTGGGGACTTAATTTCTTCACCTGAAGAATGAGGCCACTAACAGAAGCTCCCTAGATGTGTTTGTTTTTGACCTAAATGTTTTCCAAAACTTGACTCTCACTGCTCTTGGGGCAAGTGTTTTTTCCCTTCTCTAGTCTGATGGAGCCCCTACCATTCCTCATGGTCTTACACCTGCCCACTTAAGTGCCTACCTGAACTCTGAGGCATTTTAATTTATTACCTCTAAATTGCTTCCAGTTCTTGTCCTTTAAGAGAAGAAAGAAGACTGGGGGGGAGGAGGGAAGAAAGAAGAAAAGAAAGAGGAGGAAAGAAGCTATAAGAATAATATGCAGAAATGATGATAAAACTTTGGCAGCAATTTCAGACTTCTCCCGAATAATAAACATTGGTTTTATTGATGCTACATCCAGGGGTTTTCCAATCAGTGATGTAGAAAACAGAGTTAATAGTCAGGTCACACCAATGCCCTAGGAACTGATACTATGAGCCACAGTATAAATTCACACTAAATTAAAAAAAAAAAAGGGACTCACAATAGGCGTGTGTGTGTGTGTGTGTGTGTGTGTGTGTGTGTGTGTCTAGGAGGGTATGGAATCAAAGAAGACAGCCATTTCTTTTTTTTTTTCTTTTTTTTTGAAGTAGAGTCTTGCTCTGTTGCCCGGACTGGAGTGCAGTGGCGCGACTTCGGCTCACTGCAAGCTCTGCCTCCCGGGTTCAAGCGATTCTCCTACCTCAGCCTCCCGAGTAGCCGGGATTACAGGTGCCCGCCACTACACCCAGCTAATTTTTTGTATTTTTAGTAGAGATGAGGTTTCACCATGTTGGGCAGGCTGCTCTTGAACTCCTGACTTTGTGATCCGCCTGCCTTGGCCTCCCAAAGTGCTGGGATTACAGGCATGAGCCACCGTGCCCGGCCTACTTTTGGGTAGTTTAAAATTCTAAGCCTATTATATAAATATTTTGGAATTTAAAATATTTGGAAGAGCAATCTGATAACTGCAATACATATTTTAACTAAGTTATACTTCTTACTCCAAGTAAATAAAGGAGGCTGTGAAAAAAAAAGATATTTTAGCAGCTTTTCTCCACTGAAGAAGAAAAAGAGGAAAAAAAGAAAAAGAGGAAAAAAAAGAAAGAAAAAAAAGCAAGAAGAAGAAAACATGCTGAAGTTTCCTTATACTGTCCAAGAAAACAAAGGAATTGTTTCTTCTTTGAAAAGGAATGTTTTAGAGAAATATGCCTGTACCTTAGTTATCTAGATTGTGATGTTAAAGTAGTCAACTAATGGAAATTCAATGCTAGCAGCGTGCTGATAAATGTTTAACAACCAGCTTTCTGGGGCTGGGGGAGGGGGAGATGTCTGACTTACAGAGTTTACCAATTTCTTTCTTTCTTTGTTTTTAGAGATGGGTCCATGTAGCCCAGGCTGGACCTCTGGGCTCAAGCAATCCTCCTGCCTCAGCCTCCCAAGTTGTTGAGACTACTGGCACACACCACCATGCCTGGCTTGTTTGCCAGTTTCTTAGTAAAATACTCCCATCATGGCTAGTTTCAAGCTACCAACATGATGTCACTGAACATGGAATTATGCTGAAATGCCAAGAATCACTCTCACTTGCTGGCTCCAACACACTGGAGTGTACAATTTATTTTCCTCTCCTATCTTGGATTTTCCCACTCATTAAGCTAGTGTAGTATTACTTAAGAAAAAATTGGAAACTTACGTGGGCACATGGTTATCCCTATTGCAAAATCTGCATCACCTTTAAGTGAGTGACTTCAATTGTGAAAAGTATGTAATTCCAAAGGGACCTAAAGACAGCACTGATGCCTGTGGTAAATGCTGTTGTGGGCACATGCTCATCCTAAAGACAAATGATCCGATACATCCTCAAGGTGGTGGACCTGACAGTGCTAGTCTTTTTTGAAGGATAAGTTATGCATGTTCTCTTAGATGAGTGATCTCACCATAGAAGCTTCAGATGGGCAGAACTGAAGTCACTAACACAAGTTCATTAGTTAAGCAAACATTTTATATGCAGAGCAGATTTACTCAGCACCATTGCCACATGCAGACCAGAAATGATCTCAATGTCAAGTCTAGTAAACGGAGAAAGTTCACTGTTGTATGCACAAGTTTTTCTCCAAAATGGATGGAAATAATTTACTATAGTAATCTAAATCAAACACAATGCCTGAAATACTACTCAATTTAGTTCACTGTCGGCTCTGAATACACTCTCGGCTCTGAAAATAACACCAATGAATTTGTGGCAATTAAGATATTCGGTAACATTCATGATTTTTAAAAATATAGCTAAGATTAACTCTTACTAGAACGAGTCAACATCTGTCTTAAGATTTTTAAGAGTGAGCTGTAGACATAAATGAGCAACTACTCAGCAGATACCTCTATGTCCTGGAAATCAATGCTACGTGACTGCAGGTTCCATGGAGTTCTTTTCTTACATTCTGACTCATATCCTGAGTATTCTCCTAGTGGCCTTTCTATTCATTGTGACAACATTTACCCTGAAGTTGTCTACAATGCCATCTCCTACCTTGGAAAGGTGTCCCATTTCATATGCTTCATCTTTGTATCTTCTTTGATTATATGAAATGCAGTGCAGAGTTCTACATGCACAGAACTTCAAAAAGAACAACACTGAAATGCTGATACAGTGCCCATAATGACAACTGAATATGTCTGTAAATTGGCAATATCTGACCCTGTGATGTCTTGAGACTATGAAGGGCAGGGGCTTTATCCACAAAATCACAATCTGTGGACATGTGACAAATACTAATGTATCTAGCATACTGACTAAGACCTTCGAATTTGAAGACAAGCTTCCGGCATTTGAGTTTCAACTCTGTCTACTACTAGCCATATGACTTTAGGAAAATCACTCAACCTCTCTGAGGCTGTTTCCTCATCTATAAAATGAGGAAAACCTATCTTGTAGGGAGTGCTACTGAGAGTAAACTGAGAAAAGCCTCATAAAGCATTTAGAGCAGTTTCTAGAACATAACAACAATAAATGTTAGCTATTATTGTTATAAATTAGATATACAGATGAAATCGGAATGGACAGTTTAGTAAGCATATACATTATGGCACTCACTTCCCAGATTTTGGCTATATTCTGCTTTTGGAAGGTGAAATTCAAATGAGTGGTCTGGACTGTTTTGCAAACACTGTTTAAAACAGTGCTATTCTGACTGGAGTGTATTCAGCTACTATATGTTCTGAAAAATGTGTGCCAACCAGGGCATTGCTACAACCAACCAATGTATAGCTTCTACTCATCAATCATAAGGGGAGACTACAGGAAGAGATTTGTAACTAACATCGTTGCCTTTAGATTTTTACCTTCACAATACACCTTTCCTGTTAATACTATTATTCTTCTTCTTCCCACAAAAATTATCATATCTCTGTCCTCCATACTAGCTAATTTTGCTTACAGAAGAAAAAAATTAACTCCTGTTTCTCAAAGAACTGAAAATAGAATTACCATTCAATCCAGCAATCCCATTACTGGGTGTATATACAAAGGAAAATAAATTGTTCTATCAAAAAGGCACATGCGCTCGCATGTTCATCGCAGGACTGTTCGCAATAACAAAGACATGGCTAGGTTCCCATCAATAGGGGACTGGATAAGGAGAATGTGGTATACATACACCATGGAATACTACACAGCCAAGAAAAAGAATGAAATCGTGTCCTTGGCAGCAACATGGATGCAGCTG
The DNA here is from genome assembly GCF_000001405.40 of Homo sapiens. Taxonomy (NCBI): domain Eukaryota; kingdom Metazoa; phylum Chordata; class Mammalia; order Primates; family Hominidae; genus Homo; species Homo sapiens. The sequence continues at coordinate 32,838,193 of NC_000012.12, forward strand.
GAGGCCATTATTCTAAGCAAATTAATGCAGCAACAGAAAACCAAATATCACATGTTCTCACTTAAAAATGGGAGCTAAACACTGGGTACAAATAGACACAAAGATGGGAACAATAAACACTGGGGATTTCAAAAGCAGGGAGGGACAGAGCAGGAAAAAGGGTTGAAAATCCATCTATTGGGTACTAAGTTCACTATTTGAGTGATCGGCACATTAGAAGGCCAAACCTCGGCATCACGCAATGTACCTGTGTGACAAACCTGTACATGTACTTCCTGAATCGAAAATTAAAAAAAAAAAAAATTAACTCCTTAATGTGATCCTCAAGATCGCCACTATCTGGCTTTAGCCTATGTTTCCAATTTCTGTTTGATTACTTTCTATCACAAACTCCATACTCTTATCAGACTTGATTATTCACCAATTTCACCATCAATTTTCATTTGTTCACTCATTCATTTATTCATTTTATTCAAATACCTTGCTTACTTACTATATGCTGAAAACTTTGCTAAGTGTCAGGCATTAAAAATGTTTTTTAAATGCATAGGCTTAGCTTTTATGGCAAAATCTATTAATAGTAGCAAAGGTATGTAAACAACTATCATATAACAGCAATGTGACAAAATCAGTAACAGTGGTGACTTGGCTATGAACTCCCGTTTGAACCCTCAGGAACAAGCACTAGCTTTTGCTGGGGAAGCTGGAAAATGTTTCATAGAACATTTATGAACATTATGAACTTTATCTTTGGTTTTAAATCGTTAGGAGATTAAGTATTCAACAGGCAGATAATAGAAAATGTTTACCAGGCAAATAAAATTAAATAAAGTATTGATATGAAAGTACTATGACATCTAAGGAAAAGCAAGCACTTTGGTGGGTGTGAAGTATATCTGTGGGAAAAAAGGTGGTAATGAAGGTTGTGGATAGACTGAAAAAGGCTGTGTATGCTGTGATGGACCAAGATGTCTTCCATTTTTGTTTGGTTCACCCACTAAGTTCTTCCACCCCTTTTCTTATGGTAACAGATTTTGCTGTCCTTGCTATAAAAGGAGGTATCTGATCCAGGCTTGGACAATCCAGGCCAACAGTTGCTCAAATGATGTGCCCCTTTCTGAATCAAGGCCAGGAAAAAACTTTCCCTGTGATTGGCACAATCATTTTAAGAAAGATGTGCACTTTTTTTTTTTTTTTTTTGTGGCTAAGCAAGGGCTGCCTACGATTAAGTTATCTGCTCAGTAGAGAAGGCTTCTTTGCATTTGCAGGAAATGAGCCCACTATGAAAAAAGAAGAGCAAGCAGAGATGACATACAAACAGAAAAAGAGTGAGTCCTAGGAATGCTGAATTCTGTCCCAAAAAGGGAATACGGTCATGGTTCCTGGTATACTTCCTTCACTTCCTCAAGTGACCTGCAATATCTCAGCCACATGGGCCAATGAATTCCGACTTGTTTCAGTGAGTTTAAGTTCGGTTCCCACCATTTTCAATGGAAAGAGTCCTAATACATCTGCCATACTAAGAACTCTGTTTTATGTGGTAAGGCAATGGGAGCTGGAGAGAAACTTTAAGACGTGAAATATGTTTAAGCAGGTGAGCGATGGATCAAAGTGCACTAGAAAAGCAGATTCAATGGGCAGTACAGAAGATGGATTCGAGGAAGGCCACTTAGGCACTTCTTATGCCTTTCAAGAATGTGGTCCTTTATCTTTAGAGAATTTCTGACTACCAAAATAGTCCAGCAAGGCCCAGCTCACTCGACACCTCTTTTCTAGTGCCCTTCTGATCTCACCAGATGCCATGAATGGTCCTTTGTTCTGCATTCCCGCAGCACTTCACTTGCACCTTTGACATCCTAGTTCGCAAACTTCAGTGACTGTCAGAATCACCTAGAGGCTTGTTAAAACTAGATTGCTGGGCCCAACCTTGAGTGTTTCTGATTCAGAAGGTCTGGGGTGGGACCTGAGAATTCTAACAACTTCCAGGTGGTGCTGGACCTGTGGCCAGCTTTGAGAACTGCTGCTCTAACACATTTCATTGTAGCTGTCTTCTAGTTCACTTGCTTATCTGTGTCCCCTGCTCCACTAAACATTTCTTACGGATATTCTTGTTTTATATTTTTTGAGACAGGGTCTTGCTCTGTCACTCAGGCTAGAGTGCAGTGGTGCAATCATGGCTCACTGGAACCTCAACCTCCTGTGCTCAAGAGATTCTCTGTCCCAGCCTCCTGAGTAGGTGGGACTACATGTGCACACCACCATGTCCAGCTAATTTTTTCATTTTTTTGTGGAGACAGGGTCTTGCTATGTTGCCTAGGCTGGTCTCGAACTCCTGACCTCAACTGATCCTTCTGCCTCAGCCTCCCAAAGTGCTGGTATTACAAGTGTGAGCCACCGCACCCAGCCAAGGGTTTTCTTATTCATCTTTGTATAGCCTTCAGTAGCTAACATAATGCTTTACACAAAATTGGTATTTGATATGTATTACTGTGTGATTAACTATGGAGATAAAATAAACATCTTATCATAATAAATTCTTTCAGTTACCATCCAAATAAAGTCTCTCAAAAAATAAACTGTGTAGGCCGGGCACGGTGGCTCACGCCTATAATCCCAGCACTTCGGGAGGCCAAGGCAGGTAGATCACTGTACTCCAGCCTGGGCAACAGAGCGAGACTCTGTTTTAAAAAAGATAAATAAATAAATAAAATAAACAAACCATCAAACAAACTGTGTAACTAGAAAAGAACCAAAGGCAGAATATATCCTGACTTCCTTGGGGCTACCTAATTTTTTATTGCATCTTCTATCAGGGCAGGGTACAGGTAGCATTACCTTAGGCATCCAGTGACGTTGTAGAATATGTCAAAATCGAGCAAACCATTTGCTTTTGGGTAGTCTCCTTCAGGCCACCCAGAAAAGGGGATGATGATATTCTCCGTCAGCGTAAGCAATGCTTCTGTTATCATGAGATTCTTGAGTTTGTCATTAGATGACAAATTCCACAGCAAACCTAGAAAAGCACAGAGTTACCATGAAAACAGTGCAGGGTGGGACCAAAATGACCGCTGAAAAGTTCAGTCAAGGCCATCAACTCCAGGGCTATGACTAGTCATAAAAAAATTTGGGGGGTTGGGGGGCCAGCCTCTTTCTCAACTAGAAGAACCCAATTAGAACTCATTAGATGGTGATGGAGGCTGACCCACATGAGCAATAAATACATGGCTTAGGCTACAAACTGTGCAGGTTTAAACTAATCAGATATACAAATAAAGGCCAGACATGCTTAAGCATTTATTGCTGTTTCTCCTAAAGGGCCCTACCACAAAGCTGACCTGACCGGGATAATAAAGTCTGGGCTCACCAATAGGCAGGCTTAAAATGGTCCTATTGTAACTAAAACTTCAACATTTTTAAAGAGTCATATTTTTTTCTCCCTTAGATACACATGGGAAAATATCTTCCCTGCCTCCTTCCCCACTAACTGTAACTTTCACCTGACATTGTGCCTCCCAGTAAGAGCAGGGAAGGTCTGCAGAAAGCCTTTCTCCATGCCTGTCAACAGGAAGCTGATCAACATCACCAATTAATGTTATTGACTGTTACCCAATGACAGAATCATGTCCTCCAGCAATTTATTCTGGCTACCTCATGTATCCTTATTTTATAGTTTGGCAGTGAAGGAGAGACAACAGCATCTTCCCTATTGGCCAACTTGCATGGCCTAAGTACTGCTCAAAGATTAGTACCCTATTTACTCATTAAATTTTCTCTTTCCTCTTGAATCCCCCATATTAAAGAGAAAGACCATATAGGCCAATCCAGAAGAAACTGAGATAATAGCATGTTGTACTTTATAAGGTATATACTGTGACATACAGACTGAGGCTGAGTACTGAGAGAAAATAGAAAGTGGCATATACGTTTAGGATTTTTTTTGTTTTTGAAATTTGGAGCTCGAATCCTTCTGATTCAGTGGAAGGAAGACTGTACACTGATTGCTTGCTATTCCAGGGACTCCCAGCAGGTGTAAAGTTGCCTCGTCATCTTTCTTTCTTTTTTTTTGAGACTGCGTCTCACTCTATTGCCCATGCTGGAGTGCAGTGGTGGCTTGATCTCGGTTCATTGCAATCTCCACCTCCCAGGTTCAAGCAATGCTCCTGCCTCAGCCTCCCAAGTAGCTGGAATTACAGGCGCCCGCCACCATGCCTGACTAATTTTTGTATTTTCGGTAGAGACGGGTTTCACCATGTTGGCCAGGCTGGTCTCAAACTCCTGACCTCAAATGATCTGCTGCCTCGATCTCCCAAAGTGCTGGGATTACAGGCATGAGCCATTGCCTGGCCCGCCTCATTATCTTTCATACCGTAATGGGTTACACTAACTCACTAATGCCCAGGAAAAGGAGAAGAGGGGCAGAAAGAGAAGGGATGACTCTTCCCTTTCTACCCTATCCTTCTCACTGCCCAGGCAACAATTCCTACTTCTTTTTTCTCCCCCGAGATGGAGTACTGCTTTGTTGCCAAGGCTGAAGTGCGGTGGCGCAATCTCGGCTACCTGCAACCTCTGCCTCCCAGGTTCAAGCAATTCTCCTGCCTCAGCTTCCCGAGTAGCTGGGATTACAGGCACACACCACCATGCCTGGCTAATTTTTGTATTCTCAGTAGAGACGGGGTTTCACCATGTTGGCCAGGCTGGTCTCGAACCCTTGACCTGGTGATCCGCCCACCTCGGCCTCCCAAAGTGCTGAGATTACAGGCGTGAGCCACTGTGCCTGGCCCAGCAATTCCTACTTTTTTTTTTTTGAGACAGAGTCTCACTCGGTAACCTAGGCTGGAGTGTAGTGGCACAATCTTGGCTCACTGCAACTTCTGCCTCCCGGGTTCAAGTGATTCTCCTGCCTCAGTCTCCTGAGTAGCTGGGATTACAGGCGCAGACCACGACACCCGGCTAATTTTTTTGTATTTTGAGTAGAGACAGGGGTCTCACCATGTTGGTCAGGCTGGTCTCGAACTCCTGACCTCGTGATCCGCCCGCCTTGGCCTCCCAAAGTGCTGGGATTACAGGCGTGAGCCACCGCGCCCGGCCAGCCATTCCTACTTCTTAAATTGACTGTATGGTCTGTACAAAGGAAAGAGGAAGCATAGGTACTCAGGGCAGGCTCCTTTATGAACACAGCAAATGTGGCAGACTTGGCTGAACTATGTGGCAAACATCACCTCCCCTGAAATAAGAGCCTGTATAGTTAAAGCTTGGTAATTACTCAGCATACTTATATTTGGTCCAACCAATTAGAACACATTAGGCTTCATGCAGTCTTTTGGGCTTAAACAGTTTGCTTCTGCTGTGCACAGGTAGCTACTTTTTGAAACTGTAACCAGATTTCCACTGGAGCCTACACAGAGCTTCCATTAGATACAGTGACACTGTGTCTGGTGTCTTGTGAGGACTAGATTTCTGGCTTATGAGGAGGTATTTTCCTGATCAAACTAGCATTTGGGGTTAAGGAGCAGTGTCCCTCAGCCACAGGTTTTGCAATACAATGACTTCATTCCTCCTGCTTCTCCTTAAGAGGCCCTGGAAGAGGGACAGATAAAACTCAGAAGGTGGTTGAAAACAATTTAAAGACAAGTCTGAGGCTGAGTTTTGGTTACTAAGCTACAAAAGCAAGTTAGAAAGAAGAGAGAAATGAAGAAAAAAAACAAAAGCTTCTTTAGTCCTAAATAAGCAAACAAATTAATAGTCTCTGCCTGCCAGAAGCTTAAGAATGTGAAGCATAATGACATTTCCTCCTTTTAAAAAGGACCACACAGGACACTCAAAGAAAAAGTACACCTTACAATAAAAACCAGAGAGGATTAATTGGAACAAAGGGAGTGGAATTTTCCTTCAACAGTCAATATCCTTTAGAGCTTGCCATGCTCCATTATTTCTACAAAAGTATATGATTTTGGAAGTTTCAGCATAATTTTAGAATTTCTAATATAGGATTTTGCATAGAAATGTCATGCCTGTCAAATTTCTGGGTGGCATGAAAGCTGTGAAAGAACTAAGATGTTCAATAGAGATTCAGAATTACATATGCTCATACACACATACCCTCACACAAAATCAGTGAGTAACCAACTACAAACTGGGAAAATATGTACAATATGAGATAAAAGTTTAATACTCTTAATATATAGAATTTTTATAAATCACTAAAAAGCGAAACACCAGTAGAAAAATTGGGAAGGTACATAACACAAAACCAACTGATATTAGGAGCTAATGTACACAGGAATCCATGTTCTCTAGTAACTAAAGAAATACAAATTTAAACAACTAGATATCATTTTCCATGACTAGAGGAGGCAAAACCAGAACCGATGAGTGGAAATTCTAAAGAAGGAGATTTTGGCTCACTGAAAGTATAAACTTCTAAGAGAGCTTTGAAGAAAACAGAAAGAACTACTTGTAAGACCCAGCTCTATCACTAGAGGGAATAAAAATTAGCTTATCTCTTATCAGAAAGTAGATGAGGGCTTTTACCCTGAAATTAAAGTGTTAGACTAGATGAGCAGTTTCCAAATGAGCCCAGTGACAAAACAGACTCACAGTCTTGGGCCATGCCCCAAATTTGCTGAGCCAGAGTCTCAGGATGGAGTTCAGGAACTTATATTTTAAAAAAAGATTCCAGTTTGGGCATGAGGAAACCAATAGACTAGATGATTCTGAATAGATGTCCCTTCAATGATCAGATTCTGGATTACCTAATATAATATTTACGGTTTGGGTTTTCATGTGTCTCATCCTTAACTTCTGATCAATTTTTTCATAGTGTCTTAATGTCTACTAGTATAGCTCTTTGTTGCAGATGGTCTGTCTGCCTGTAATTTTCTACCATGAGGCTCTCATTCTAGCCAAAAAGAAAGGGATCTGGACTCTGTTAAGGGATATAATTAGAATAATTACCAATTATAAGAGACAATAACTCCATTAGCCAGAAATTTACTGCCAACCGTGATGTTTGTAAAAAATAGCTAACCAGTAAAGGGAGCTTAGATATTACAACTCATGTTAAATAATAATGACCTCGGCTGGGCGCGGTGGCTCATGCCTGTAATCCCAGCACTCTGGGAGGCCGAGGGGGGCGGATCACGAGGTCAGGAGATTGAGACCATCCTGGCTAACATGGTAAAACTCGTCTCTACTAAAAATACAAAAAAAATTAGCCAGGCGTGGTGGCGGGTGCCTGTAGTCCCATCTACTTGGGAGGCTGAGGCAGGAGAATGGCGTGAACCCGGGAGGCGGAGCTTGCAGTGAGCCGAGATCATGCCACTGTACTCCAGCCTCGGCAACAGAGCGAGACTCCGTCTCAAAAAAATAAATAAAAATAATAATAAAAAAATTAATGACCTCTAGGACAGAAAATATAGTAATTTAACAAATCTGCCTTAACACATAGGCAGCAAAACTTACAAGTTTTATGATTAAATAAATCCCTATCTTCAGTGAAAAAGAATGAGGAGGCAGAGATGAGGACAATGACCGCTCGGACAAGGACAAGAAAGAAAACTGGTTCTTTTTAACCGTGTTTTTCAAAGTGGTCAAAGAGTGGGAGGAATTTTTTTTTATTTATTTACAATTTCCCTTGCATAGATATACCCCTCCTTTCACCTAAATTTTGCAAATCTTAACTGGAATATCAGATTATTGAAACGGCCACGTATTCCAAGTTATATATAAACCCAGGGTACCTTGTTACACATTACGAATGCGGAATAAAATAATATACAATTACTTAAAGAAAGTGCATAATAAATATTTTATAGCAAAACATTCTGAGTATTTTATTAAATACAGCAATCCAATTAAGTACTTCTATAAAATATGCAGGGATTAATATGCAGTTTTAACACATTTCACTGACAATTACCCTGACTCTTTCATATGTAATGAAAGAGGGATAAGAACCCCTGCTGCACTCTTATCATGACTTGTCCGTTTTAATCCAAGGCATATCCCTGCTCACTCCAGCCAATGCTCACTACTCAGTGACCTTGAAGATGAACTTCTGAGACTAAGATGTGCCGTTCTCATTTCAATTACGGGAACACTACCACGCTCACTTAGTAAGGGAGAAAGAACAATCTCACCGGGGTGGGGGGAGTGGGGGTGTCTTTGATCCTGAAGTTCTTTCATTAGAAGAGAAGATCCTAGGCTACTACTGCAGAAGTAGAGCGAGAGATGAAGACAGCTTGAACCAAGGCAGAGACAAGAAGACAGAGGGGCCAGCACAGTGGCTCACGCCTGTAATCCCAATACTTTGGGAGGCTGAGGCCGGCAGATCACCTGAGGTCGGGAGTTCGAGACCAGCCTGACCAACATGGAGAAACCTCCATCTCTACTAAAAATACAAAATTAGCCAGGCATAGTGGCGCATGCCTGTAATCCCAGCTACTTGGGAGGCTAAGGCAGGAGAATCGCTTGAATCTGGGAGGCAGAGGTTGCAGTGAGCCAAGACTGCGCCATTGCACTCCAGCCTGGGTAACAAGAATGAAACTTCTTCTCAAAAAAAAAAAAAAAAAAGAAGAGAGAGGAAGGGTGTCAGAGGAGTGAGGAAGAGCTCTCTGATCAGAGGAGTCTCAAAGACAAGCCCCTTCTCAAAGACTATACAAATGAGTCATCACGTGCCTCAAAAGTAGGTGGGGTGACAGCAAAACACTCAGATACAACTAGGTTCAAACCTGGGCTTTGTTCTTTACCATTTAGGCAACCTTGGGCAATTTACTTAACCCCTCTGAGTCTCACACTGATCATATGTAAGTCACCAATTATGCTTTCACCTCTTACGGAGTTGTCAGGAGAAATAGGGATAAAAAAACAGAAAGCCTTAGCTTAGTGACCAACACATAATAGGGGTTCAGAAAAAAAAAAGGTCAAAGAAATAGACCAGTAAGATTCACATATATACTTACTTTCTTTGTGTTTCTAAACAAAGATATAAACATGTCTATATTAGGTTAACAATTTATTTCTGAGGCCCAGAAAGCCCTTATTTAGCTCTTCTATTAGTAGAGCCAAAGGGAGTAATTTAGAAGGATTTGTATCAGATGTTCAAATGTCTGTTTGGTTCAATTAGCATGTAATGAACACCCTCCAGTAGGGATGTTTGGCTTATACTAGAAATCCTGGGTGCTGCACAATCAACTTCCATTTATCAACTCTATAGATGATCTAATGATGCCTGAATGGTTTCACATGGCATCAACATCACAGAATGTTCTCTGACGTTAGTCTCCTATTGCCTATGCAGGAGAAGAGGAAGCGTGATTCAATGGCTTGTTCCCTTGACACACACACACACACGCACGCAAGCACACACACACTTCCCAAGCTTTCTAACTACCAGGCACCCTAACTCCAAATCACGCTATTTTCCATGTCTCCTCTAAATGACCGGCAGCTAGTTTCTTTCTGCCTCTTTGCCTTGCTAGTGATGCTCACTTTGCCAGGAATAACTTTCATCCTCTTTCAAAACACCAATCCAAAGCCTATTCCTTTTTTAAGGTCCACAATGAAACATAACCCCTTCAGGAAGTATTTCCTGACTATAAAACTAGTAGATGGAGAAACAAAATCCAACGCGGGTGCAGTGGCATGTCCCTGTAGTCCCAGCTACTGAGGAGGCTGAGGCAGGAGGATCTCATGAGCCCAGAAGAACAGCCCAGGCAGCACAGCGAGATCCCCATCCTTTAAAAAAAACAAAAACAAAAAAACCCCAAATCCACACCGTCCCTAGGCTGTGATTCTCAGTACCTGACCCCTGAAAGCTGCTCTGTAAATGTTGGTTAAATGAATGGAATCACTTTTAATTTCTACAGGCATTTGAATACAAATCATGGATATGAAAAGAAATCCCTCATGGGACCTGACAGAATGCTGGCAAGAGCGTAGCATGGTACTGGTAGGGCGCGGTGGCTCACGCTTGTAATCCTAGCACTTTGAGACGCGGAGGCAGGCGGATCGCCTGAGGTCAGGAGCTCAAGACCAGCCTGATCAACGTGGCGAAACCCCGTCTCTACTAAAAATACAAAAAATTAGCTGGGCGTGGTGGTGGGCACCTGTAATCCCAGCTACTTGGGAGACTGAGGCAGGGAGAATTGCTTGAACCCTGGAACCAGACGTTGCAGTGAGCTGAGATCATGCCACTGCACTCCAGCCTGGGCAACAGAGCAAGACTCTGTCTCAAAAAGAAAAAGAGAATAGAGAGAGTAGCATGGTACCTCACATAGTTTTATAACATTAAAATATATCAGAATTTAAAATGTGATATTTAGCAACATGTATACAGCTGGAGGTCATTATCCTAAGCAAATTAATGCAAAAACAAAAAATCAAATACCACATATTCTCACTTACAAATGGGAGCTAAACATTGGGTATACATGGACTTAAAGATGAATAAAAGAGGGAGGAAAGGACGGGGGCAAGGGTTGAAAAACTATCTGTTGGGTACTATGCTGAGTACCTGGGTGACAGGACCATTCGTATCCCAAACCTCAGCATCACACAATATATCCATGTGACACACTTGAACACGTAACCCCAAATCTAAAATGAATGTTGAATTTTTTAAAATGTGATATTTTAAGACATAAAGCGAGTAGAGATAACATAATGACAAAATCTTTATAGAAAAATTAAACCTATTATATAACTAAATGAAGCAGGTAGAAGAGCAAAATATATTCAATTTACTTTAAAACAATATTTGTGGAGTATTTCCGTTAAAAGTATTTACCAGAACACTGTCAACTATTACACAGTTAAAAAAAAAAAAAAAAAAACCTCTTCTATGATGTATATTCTTTGAGCATTGGTTTCCTCATCTGTAAAATTGAGATATAGCACCTGATAATACCTAGAAACCCAAGGTTTCTGTGATAATTAAATTAGAAAATGTACGTATATCGCTGAGACATTGAAGATATTTAACAAAAATTTACTGATGATTGCACTCAGTTATGCCTCCTGCAATCTTTGTTAATTTTTTTGAGATAAGGTCTCACTCTGTTGCCCAGGCTGGAGTACAGTGGTGCAATCATGGCTCACTGCACCAGCCTCAGCCTCCTAGGCTCAAGCAATCCTCCCACCTCAGCCTCCTGAATAGCTGAGACTACAGGCACACACCACTAACACACCTGGCTAATTCTTTATTTTTCATAGAGACAGGGTCCCACTATGTTGGCCAGGCTGGTCTCGAACTCCTGGGCTCAAGCAATCCTCCTGCCTTGGCCTCCCAAAGTGCTGGGATTACAGGCATGAGCTACTGCACCCAGCCCCTCCTGTACTCTTTGTACTGTGTGCAGGGAACACAAGCGGAGAGCTGATGGTGATGGCAGGGAGAGTGCTTATTCTGGAACATCAACAAATCATCTTCTCTTTTATCATACGACTGTTCATTTAAATGAAAGTAGCCCCTTCTCTTCATGCTTAGAGGACATATTACTAACACTGCTGTTTTAATTCTATCTGATTAGTCCATCTCTCCAATTCATTGCATAAAAAGGAGACATTTGCTCCAATCAGTATTTGAACAAAAATGTGAAGTAGAGAATTAAAAAAACAAACATATCCAGTTACTCTTTTCTTCTTTAAGGTTTCAGTGAGCTAAGGAGGTGGTACTGAGAGGAGTCCAGATAATGGAAAGATTGGAAAAAACAGTTTCTAATATTTGATTACATTGATCCTCCACACTGGAAAACTATGTGACACTCCATTTCATTTTCTATAGATCCAGCAAGCTGGTTGTTGAGTAAATAATACAAACAACTGGGTGTGGTTCTTGTCAGTTTTCTTTAGAAAGAAAGAAACCAAAATTTAGTTTGGGACACCTAGGATAACAGTGAAATCCTACACGTTCTTAAACTACAAAGTGGGCTGTTAGTGAATTTAAGCAGAATTTTCATTGCAGTGAGTCTTGTCAAATTGTTTTAAAGACATTTAGTCAAAGGTGCATAGAGTTTCTAATTAAGAATATTAAGCAAAAGCCGCAGAACATTTTCCCCTTTAGAAAAAAGGAATTCAGGCTGGGCGCAGTGGCTCATGGCTCATGCCTGTAATCCCAGCACTTTGGGAGGCCGAGGCGGGCGGATCACAAGGTCAGGAGTTCGAGACCAGCCTGGCCAACATGGTGAAACTAAACTTTAGTAGAAACATCGTCTCTACTAAAAATACAAAAATTAGCCAGGTGTGGTAGCACATGCCTGTAATCCCAGCTACTAGGGAAGCTGAGGCAGAATTGCTTGAACCCTGGAGGCGGAGGTTGCAGTGAGCTGAGATTGAGTCACTGCACCTCAGCCTGGGTGATAGAGCAAGATTCTGTCTCAAAAAAAAAAAAAAGGAATTCGAATGTGGCTCAAATCTGGAGTCTAAGCCAGCAGGTAACAATGTTCCTTTAAAGCCTTCTCTAGCATAACAATGAGCCCATCAATCATTTGCTCCAGGAAACTTAAGAAAAAGAGATGATGTAAGGCATCTGGCTGGGGTGCAAATGTGTTAGGTTCTTCAATGTTCAGTAAGCACTACCTGTTATTTGTTTTTTAGTCTCCAAGTCTCTGGTTTGCTTCAGCACCTGGAGCAGCCGAGGTACCCCATTTAGTTCAGCCACCTCCAATTTGTTGTCATTGTCTTCAAATACTAAGTTTCTCAAGGCCCCACACACAGCTCGCTGAACGTCTTCATTCTGAACTTTTAGGAGCTGCAGAAGCTTGAGGATGCCACGAAGCTGGTTAACCTGGGGAAGAAGCAGATGCATATTTCTAATATTAATTTTGATGTGGCATCAAGGCATTCAATGTAATACAAACAGATGAAGTTTACTGATGCTGACTATAACCTTTCTTCATCAACAACTATGTGTAGCACAACTGAGGCTCTTGTAGAATATACCCCGGCTATAAGGCAGTATCTGTCATCAAGGAACTTATAGTACATTTGGGAAGTTAAGACTGAAACCTATGAAATAATTGAAGGGGAAGATTAAGTGATAAAGGGTGCATAGGTACTAGTTAAACAAAGTTAAGTGATAAAAGCTTGGAGCATAATAAAAATGAAAAGAATTGGGAATCTAGGCAGTAAGGAGAGTTTTTTTTATTAAATAATCCAAAATTACGTAAGTTTTTTCCTAAGACAAAACTTTATAGTCCATATAAAATGAATAGTATCACTTTCATTAACAGAAATAAAAATGCATTTACCATGTCAGCCTCAGTAGTAATGCAAACTAACCCTAAATTCTTTTTTGTTTGAGATGCAGTCTGGCTCTGTCACCCAGGCTGGAATGCAGTGGCGGGATGTCGGCTCACTGCAAGCTCCGCCTCCCAGGTTCACACCATTCTCCCGCCTCAGCCTCCTGGGTAGCTGGGACTACAGGCGCCCGCCACCACGCCCAGCTAATTTTTTGTATTTTTAGTAGAGATGGGGTTTCACCATGTTAGCTGGGATGGTCTCGATCTCCTGACCTTGTGATCCACCCGCCTCGGCCTCCCAAAGTGCTGGGATTACAGGCGTGAGCCACTGCGCCCGGCCACTAACCCTAAATTCTTATAACCAATTGCATGGAGTATTTTAAAAGACTTATAAAACTTATGCAAGCACTTTAAGCAGATAAAATAATTTTACACTTTTAAATGTGTTATTTAAAAAATATTCCTTCTATCCAAATACGTAAGAAAGCGCATGCTATTAGAGAAAGGGCACAACCAGGAATGGGAAACAAATTGATCTAAGAAGGGGCCAAATAATCCTAATCTAAGCAGGGAGATTTTCTGTTTTAGTCGGAAAATATGATCTAAAGAAATCAGACACAGCGTTGGTGAAATAAAACATTAGGTTGTAGACTGAAGGCTTTCCTTCTCTTAGGCTTCCATTCACATCTGATTTTGAAACTTTTAAGTTGCCAAGAGCTGTTGGTAAAGATCTCATTTTCACTATCTTCATGAAGAAATTTTGAGGAAATAAGTTTTCATGAACGGGCATGAACTTGCCTTTCAGACGAAGTTTGTCACTTAGGAAGGACACCCTAACTACCAGCAGTTTATGCTCAGCGGAGAGCTGCACGCCTGGCCAGGGGCAGATTTGCATATTTTCTATGTACCAAGTTCTAGCCTCCCTTTCATAGACAGGTAAATGGTATTTAGGACACAGCCCTCCAATATTACATATTCCTTTGACAGGATTGGAGAAAAGACTAGAAAGGCGGAAATAAACATCAGAAATGTAAAACAATCTAAATAATAGCCACAACAATAACAACCACAGTCATCATAATAAAGCAAAAATTACAACTCCTCTCCCTCCTACTTCTAACATTAAGAAGCGTCAGTATAATGTTAGGAGTTTTACATACATTATCTAATTAATAGATTGCAAGAACCTTAAGAAGAAAGTACTCTTGATTCCTTTAAGGCTTCACTGGACGTAATAAGGAGTAAATACTTCCACTTGCTGGCTCCCTTCTGAGGAGACATTTGCAGAACAAGAGACAGATGGGAGAGTGGCCACAGCAATTTTGTTGGACTGTGTCTAAAGCCATTTAAATGCATGATAAAGATTTCTTAGCTGGCCGGGCACGGTGGCTTATGCCTGTAATCCCAGCACTTTGGGAGGTCAAGGTGGGCGGATCATGAGGTCAGGAGTTCGAGACCAGCCTGGCCAACATAGTGAAACCCCATTTCTACTAAAAATACAAAAAAATTAGCCAGGCATGGTGGTGGGTGCCTGTAATCCCAGCTACTTGGGAGGCTGAGGCAGGAGATTTGCTTGAACCCAGGAGGTGGAGCTTGCAGTGAGCAGAAATGGCACCACTGCACTCTAGCTCGGGCAACAGTGTGAGACTCCATCTCAAAAAAAATATTTCTTAGCTGTCAAGTAAATCTGGTCCAACAGATTATTTCATCACTTCATCTATTCCTATTACAGGCTAAGTATCCCTTATCTGAAAATCTGAAATCTGAAATACTTCAAAATCTGAAACTTTTTGAATGCTAACATAATGCTCCAAGGGAGTAATTCAGATCTTGGATTTTTGGATTAGGAATGCTCAACCAATGTAATGCGAATATTCCAAAATCTGAAAAACCCTAAATTCAAAATACTCCTGGTCTCAAGCATTTTGGATAAGTGATACTTAACCTGTATTACATTTCCTTAAACGAAAAAAAAAAAAAAAAAACCAAAATACACAATTTATGTTAAAACAACCTGTAATTCACGTTTCCCTAATTCCCTAATTTTTATTTCATGGTAAGGTTTTAAGGTAAATTCATACTTTTTTTTTTTTTTTTGAGACGGAGTCTCGCTCTGTCGCTCAGGTTGGAGTGCAGTGACACGATCTTGGCTCACTGCAATCTCCGCCCCCTGGGTTCAAGCAATTCTCCTGTCTCACTCAGCCTCCCTAATTGCAGGGATTACAGGCGCGCCCTACCATGCCCAGCTAATTTTTGTATTCTTAGTGGAGATGGGGTTTTGCCATGTTGGCCAGGCTGGTCTCGAACTCCCAACCTCAGGTGATCTGCCGGCCTCAGGCTCCCAAAGTGTTGGGATTACAGGCGTGAGCCACCGCGCCCAGCTGGCTTCCTCCTTTTAATAAGTTAAACTACAGAAAGAAAGGCCTTGACTGGCAAAATAGCACTGTGGGATATATACCCGTGTCTTCTGGGTACGATCTGTTATTCTGCTACTGTGGCACAGTGCCTGTTTTTAGGTTTTTAAGAAAATATAAGTTCATAATATACATTCACACTTTATAAGCTTCATGAATGCCAGATATACCAAATCCTCCCAGTAGCAGTATATATATCAGATGCAAAAAAAATCCTATTTGTCCTGAGGTACTTTGGCAGCTTTAGAAATATTTTATTAACTTAATTCATAATTTATAAGTTGCTTTCTTCAAAATATGATGGGAAATGGCTTACTGGCCATATTGCATTTCAAGCTGCAATGATAGAATTAGTAAGAAGTGGCATACGGAAGCCTCCCCAGCTCAGACCTGCTCCCTTACCCTGTCACCTTTATCACCTTGGCTTTCAGCACTTGCTCTAGCCCGGAAAGAGAGAACTACAGACATACCAGTGCTTAGATAAAGGCCGAAATCCGGCTACAGCTCTACTTACTGTATAACTTGACTCCCTAGTGTCTGGCACTTATCCCAAGCTTAAAAATAGATTTTAGTTACTTTCATCCATTTTATCAAGCAAATGGATATAAATCCTGCTAAATGCAAAAAGTTAATGACCTTCTCCTTGCATGTAACTAGAAGATGGTAGGTGATGAATCCTATCCACATTAGGACCAATGTCAAATATGCTGCTATTGTCCCTTAACGTTCAGGGAAGCAGCTGGAACCAGGGAGGTTTGATGAGTTTCCCAATTATACTGAATCCTCGGGGTATTTTTCCCTCCTTTGGGAAAAGGAAAAAAGAAATAGACTACCATGAATGTTTCAGAACTTCAAAGAAGTTCTCATTTGAGTTGGTTTCTAAATACATGAAAGGGCAGAGTCACATATGAGAATTTTAACTCTCTCTGTGGCTTTATTCTATCTTCCCTGCCAATTATAAAATAAGTAAATGACGAGGACTTCTGGTTGCAAATAAGCATAGGGAACACACAGCCTCTGCTGAGGCAAAGGCTCTCTCCAGACCTGGAGCCTTTGCTCTTGCTTCCTCCTCCTGTCTGGAAGGTTCAGTCCACTCTGCCTCTCTTCTGGCAAAGCCCTACTCATCCTGTGGGATCCAGCTCAAATGTCACCTCCTCTATGAAATGTCACTCCTTTCTCTGCTTTCCCTCCCATTAGAATTAATCACTCCCTGTAAACTGGCATAATCTTTCAGGAAGGCAAGTGGCAATATGTGTCAAAACTTTTAAAATATTCACTTCTAGTAACTTTTATTGGGAAACAATGTGAAATGAAGACACAGACTAACATGCAAAAATAGTGACTACATCTTTTGTAATAGCAGAAAATAAGAAACCATTAACATCCAGCAATGGGGGAAGACTGGTTGATGGTTGTCACATACCCACATGTTGAGGTATCCACGGGAGAGGCAGAGCTGACACTTTATTAGCCATACAGTTCCCTCATTAGTCAAATGGGAATTACTGTGTAAGATGAGCAGTTACATGTCAGGCACACAGTAGTTACTCAACACAAGGTAGCAACTACCATCACCTTTAACAATGTTAACTGAAATTTATAAAATATTAATGTTATAAAAATTCATATGTCATTTAAAAAATGGAATAAGGCCGGGCATGATGGCTCACGCCTGTAATCCCAGCACTTTGGAAGGCCGAGGCAGGTCAGATCACTTGAGGTCAGGAGTTCGAGACCAGCCTGGCCAACATAGTGAAACCCCGTCTCTACTAAAAATACAAAAAATTAGCTGGGTGTGGTGGCGCAAGCCTGTAATCCCAGCTACTGGGGAGGCTGAGGCAGAAGAATTGCTTGAACCCGGGAGGCAGAGGTTGCAGTGAGCCGAGATCAAGCCTCTGCACTCCAGCCTGGGCGACAGAGAGACTCCATCTCAAAAAAAAAAAAAAAAAAAAAAGGAAGAAAATATCTATGAATTTCTACTCATAAACACAGGCAAAAAGGAAATGAGATTAGGGAATTTGGGAGAAGTGGTAAATGTATGAATCATAAATAGGATCTGCCATTTTCTATGTTTTCAAATAATGAGCCTGTATTTATTTCGATTTAAAAATCGAAATAAAAATTTTTTTTTGTGGGGACAAAGAAAGCTACATATGCAATTTGATTGAAGATATGTAAGTATATGCATTAAAAATTAGAGAACAAAACCAAAATGATAATGGTGAGATTATGGGTGCATTTCCTTTTTTGTTTTTTAATTTCTCAAATTTCTTATCAAAAACTTGAATTTGTTTTATAGTAAGTTTTTGCAAGATACTTATGGCAGTGACTACTTCAGTGATGAGATATGAAACAGGCATGAAAATAAGACCACGTTAAGAAGGGTCTTACAGACTAAATTAAGGGATTTGTCTTTTATCCTGCAGGCAATGGGGGCAGTTATTGGAAAGGTCTCCCTGGGGGCTGTGAAGCATGAGACTATTAGGAATGGATAAGAATGGAGACAGGGATGTTAATCTGGAGACAGCTGGATTAACAGAAGATGGTGCTGGGACCAAGACAGTATCTCTGAGTAGGGAGGGAAAGATGTGGGTAGATTCCAAATACTTTTAGAAGTAGCATTAACAGGACCTGAAGACTGAGTGACTATGAGAGGTAAGGAAAAAAGAAGGTTCACCCCATGTTCTCACTCATAGGTGGGAACTGAACAATGAGAACACATGGACACAGGACGGGGAACATCACACACTGGGGCCTGTCATGGGGAAGGGGGAAAGGGGAGGGATAGCATTAGGAGATATACCTAATGTAAATGACGAGTTAATGGGTGCAGCACACTAACATGGCATATGTATACATATGTAACAAACCTGCACGTTGTGCACATGTACCCTAGAACTTAAAGTATAATTAAAAAAAAAAAAAAGAAGATTCAAAGAGTGTTCACGTTTTGGTGTGAAATTACCTGGGTGAACCACCCTCCTACCGTTCACTGACAGGGAACAATTTGCCCGGAGTTATTGCCTTGTGGCAGGCAGTGCACCATTATCTGACTGCATTCTCAGGACAACTCTTGGTAGGAGAACTATTTCTACTTTATAGGTAAGAAAGCTGAAGCTCAGAGAAGTAAAATATCTTGCCCAAGGGCACCTATGTAATTAGGGTGCTGGGATTCAAACTCAGCTAGCAGTGACTCTTCAGAGTCCATGATTAAACCACCAATGTCCTGCCTCCCAGCCCAACAGGACAGAGGGAGGGTTGGAGAGTAGAGAAGAAAAGCAAAAGAAGATAATATGTTCAGGCCAGGCGCAACAGCTCATGTCTGTAATCCTAGCACTTTGGGAGGCCAAGGTGGGAAGACTGCTTAAGCCCAGGAGTTTGAGACCAGCCTGGGCAATGCAGGGAGATCCCATCTGCACAAAAAATGTTTAAAAATTAGCTGGGCATAGTGGCATGCACCTGTAGTCTCAGCTACTCGGGAGGCTGAGAGAGGAGGACTGCTTGAGCTCAGAAGGTTGAGGCTGCAGTGAGCCATGATAGTGCTACTGCACTCCAGCCTGGGCAACAGAGTGAGAACATGTCTCAAAAAAAAAGAAAAAAGAGAGAGAGAGAGAGATCAACAGCGTCAAATACCAAGAATCCTAATCAAACAAAATGAGGACTGAAAAGCTGCTACTGGTTTTAAAAGTATTATGATTTAAAATTTTGATCTCTATGTCCAAATTATAATTTTCTCTTATACATACATTTAAAAACTATAGCACCATGTTTAACCTAAGAAGGATTTTTCAAATGTTCTTGGGTTGTGATATTATACTTCTTAGATTTTCTATGAAGCATATACATTTTTAGGTTTGCATATAATTTTCATGTTTCATCATTCTCAAAACCAGTCTTTGTTCTACCTTTATCTCTGAGTGACAGTCAAGCCAGCAAACAACTTCAATCCTATGTATAAGCAAAATGATATTTTTAATCAAATTAGTAATTTAAGAGATAGTAGAAATCTAGCCCAACTTGGGAAACAGAATAAAAATTCCAGTAATTTGTACTACAAAATCGAAGCATACGTAATGATGCCCAGTTTTTAAAAACTGGGAATAGGCCCTGGTGTGGTGGCTCACGCCTATAACGCCAGCACTTTGAGAGGCTGAGGTGAGAAGACTGCTTGAGCCCAGGGGTTTGTGACCAGCCCTGGGAACACAGGGAGACCCCATCTCTACAAAAAAAAAAAAAAAAAAAAATATATATATATA
This sequence comes from Homo sapiens, assembly GCF_000001405.40. NCBI lineage: Eukaryota > Metazoa > Chordata > Mammalia > Primates > Hominidae > Homo > Homo sapiens. Next base: position 32,858,098 of record NC_000012.12, read on the forward strand.
TATATATATATATATATATTTATATATATTTTATATTTATATATATATATATATAAATATATATAAAAGCCAGGCGAGTCCATGCCTGTGGTCCCAGCTACTTGGGAGGCTCCGGTGGGAGGAATGACCCCCAGAGGTCAAGGCTGCAGTGAGCCATGATCACACCACTGCACTCCAGCCTGGGCAACAGAACAACACCCTGTCTCAAACAAACAAACAAAACGCCCCAAAAAACCAGGAATAAAAAAAGATTTAAAGATTTATCTCTGACTAGCTATTAAAGGATCAATATTCAGCCCCATTCCCTTCACCTATATGTATAAAGAATGTTCATCACTAGCTAAATGTCTTCTAAAATCCTTATTCATTCTTCCTACGGAACAAATAGGCAAAGGGTCAGTGAGAAATGCTCCATAATTATACAACTTTTGAAACGGCAAAGTCTAGATGTAGGGATAGGTCTTTTAAAGCAATATCTAAAATATAGACATCGAGATGAAAAATATTTAGTTTGATCTCATAAGAATTTTAAAATCCTGCATGATGAAAGATACAAAAAACAAAGTTAAAAACAACAACAAAAATAAAGCAGGAGAAACTATTTGCCACATATGTAACAACAAATTAATATGTGTAATAGGTAAAGAACTGTAAGTCATTAAGAAAGAGATATATCTTAGTAGAAAAAATACACAATGGATTAAAAATGACAATTCACTGAAGAAATACAAAGTCAAAAACCACACCAAAAGGTGCTCAACTTCATGAATAATTAATGAATTCAAGTGAAAAAAAAATCAGCAGAAGCTCTGTTGTGTGATCCTTACTTGACTGACCTGCAAGGCTAACCAACAACATTCTCTTTTCCCTCTGTGAAACCTCCTTGATTCTCAGAGTACTATCAAAGCTGGTAGGTTACTCTATTTGAGCCTTTGCACTTCTATTTCTACCAGTTGAGTTACATGTTTACCAACAGTAATTTAGGTTTGCTTCCCAGGGTATTTATGTCAATTGTATTTGTTATAATTATGTAATTTACTTACCTATTCTATAAATGGATGAAATATAAGTATAGAAAGAGTACTTATTTCTCTGAAAATTAATTTGATGCTTTGGAAAGACTAGATAAAGGTGAAAAGCTTAAGAGAGCTCTGTAATTAGTGATGGATAGAATTAATGTAAGAGACTAGGATTTGAACTCAGATGAATTAGTTCCATTAAGTTCTCATTCCACTTTAAACTTAAACTAAAAATGGCAGATGATTTATAATGGGCATAGTTTATGCATGCAAGATGATGATAAATTCTATAAAAGCGTTTATTTTATCATTTTAAAAAATATTTTTCTCAGTAACTTTTTTTTTTGTGTGTGTGTGTGTGACAGAGTCTCTCTCTGTTGCCCAGGCTGAAGTACACTGGCATGATCTTGGCTCACTGCAACCTCTGCCCCCTGGGTTCAAGCTATCCTCCTGCTTCTGCCTTCTGAGTAGCTGGGACTACAGGTGCATGCCACCATGCCAGTTAATTCTTGTATTTTTAGCACAGATGGGGTTTCACCATGGTGGCCAGGCTGGTCTTGAACTCTTGACCTCAGGTCATCTGCCTGCCTTGGCCTCCCAAAGTTCTGGGATTACAGGTATGAGCCACTATACCTGGCCCTCAATAACTGTTTGATTGGACAACTATTAGTCTTGATTTCAAATATAAGAAAATTTCTATGATAATGAAATGCCTATTTTTGCTTATCAGATTAACAAAAACAAACAAAAGAATAATACCTTGTGGTAGTAATGGTACATGGAAATGAACACTCTGATAAAATGTTGATGGGAGTGTAAATTTGTACAATTTTTGGGAGGACTTATTGGGGAGTTATTTATCAAAATTAAAAATGACTCGATAGTAACTAACAACTCAACTTACTGCCTGAAACAAAAATTGGACAAAACATACAATGGTTTCAATAACTGAAAATGAGTAAATGATGGATAGCGATCCCTTAGATATCACTGCCTTGGGAGAGTTCCCAGGCTATGGGGCAGTGAGAGAAAACTTAAGTGAAACTCAACAGAGTTGAGGGCACAGAGCTCAGAGTTTGAGAAGACCAAAGGAGCTAATTTTTGCAGAAAAGAGTACCACAGAGAAAAGAGCTGAACAGAAACAGAACTCCTGAGATGTGCAGAGGACCTGCCTGCTAGTATTCAGTAGAGTATTAATTAGTACATGTGGTATGAGGAAACTGTCTGAGGCCAGGGAAATAATCATCCAAAAGGATTTAAGGGAACAGCTCCTCATGTTCACACAGGCCTAGGAACAATGACTATTCTTATCAGCCAGCCAGAAAAATCTCAAAAATTCCTGCTACATTAGATAGAGTTCTCAGAAGTGTCTTGCCTTAAGAAGCAGGGATTAATTATCTCTAGAATAAATGCTGCTCTGGTTCCACTTAACAAATCTTAAAAGTAGAATTTGAGGGCAAGGAGAGGGAAAGCATTAGGACAAATACCTAATGCACGCGGGGCTTAAAACCTAGATGACAGGTTGATAGATGCAGCAAACCACCATGGCACATGTATACCTATATAACAAATGCACACTGCACATGTATCCCAAAGCTTCAAGTAAAATTTTTTTTAAAAAGTAGAATTTGGTCTGGGCGCGGTGGTGCATGCCTGTAGTCCCAGCACTTTGGGAGGCCAAGGTGGACAGATCACGAGGTCAGGAGTTTGAGACCAGCCTGGCCAGCATGGTGAAACCCCATCTCTACTAAAAATACAAAAATTAGCCGGGCATGGTGGCATGCGCCTGTAATCCCAGCTACTTGGGAGGCTGAGGCAAGAGAATCACTTGAACTCGGGAGGTGGAGGTTGCAGTGAGCTGAGATTGTACCACTGCACTCCAGCCTGGGTGACAGAGCAAGACTCTGTCTCAAAACAAACAAACAAACAAACAAACAAAGCAGAATTTGAAAGGATCAAACTGTTTCCAAGCACCTTAACTGCACCCAGAACAAAGCTCAAGAATATTTACAAAAATATCCAGCATCCAACAAGATAAAATTCACAATGCCTAGGAGCCAATAAAAACTGCCAGGCATGCAAAGAAGAAGAAAAATATGACCCATAATATGGAGAAAAACCAATCAATCAAAAGCTACCTAGAATAGACACAGATATTAGAATTAGCAGACAAGGACATTAAGGTAGCAATTTTATCTGTCTTCCATATGTTCAAAAATCTTGAGCAAAGATAGAACATGTTAAATAGAAACATAGAAGACATAAAAACACTGAAATCTAAATTTTAGAGATGAAAACTACAATGTATGAAGAAAAAATACACTGAGTAAGATTAATGGCATATTAAACACATTAATGTATTAATGGCATATTAAACACATATTAAGAGATTAGCAAATGTAAAGCATAGGAATTGAACTTATCTAAAAACACAGAGAAAGAAGACTAAAAAAGAAAGATCTAAAGAAGCCTAACGTGTATGTAATTGTAGTTCCCAAAGGAGGAATAGAAAAACTGTGAAAATTTTCTAATTTTGATGCAAAGTAGAAATTCACAAATCTATGAAGCTCAGTGAACTCCCAAGCACAAAAAACTAAGAGAAACTACACTAAAGCACATGTGACCAAACTGATCAACACCAGTAAGAAAGAGAAAATCTTAAAAGCAGCCAGAGGTGGGAAGAAAAGACTCATGTATGGAGGAAGAAAGATAAGGATGACAGGAGATTTCTTATCTAAAACAATGCAAGTGATGCAAGTGAGAAGACAGTGGAGCAACTTTCTTTCTTTCTTTGAGACAGAGAGAGAGTCTCACTCTGTTGCCCAGGCTGGAGTGCAGTGGTGTGATCTCAGCTTACTGCAACCTTCGCCTCCTGGGTTCAAGCAATTCTCCTGCCTCAGCCTCCTAAGTAGCTGGGATTACAGGCACCCGCCACCACACCTGGCTAATTTTGTATTTTTAGTAGAGACAGGGTTTTACCATGTTGCCCAGGCCGGTCTTGAACTCCTGGCCTCAAGTGATCTGCCCGCCTCAGTCCTCCAAAGGGCTGGGATTACAGGCGTGAGCCACCACGCCGTGGCCAACTTTCAGTACTAATATTTAGAAACTGTTAACCTGGAATTCTAAAGCCAGTGAAAATACCTTTCAAAAGCAAAGATGAAATTCTTTTTCAGACATACAGAAGCTGAAATAATGCAGGTTTGCTGGTGATGAACTAAAATAAATATTTAAAAAAAATTCTTCAGGTAGGCCAGGCATGGTGGCTCACACCTGCAATCCCAGCACTTTGGGAGGCCAAGGCAGGTGGATCACCTGAAGTCGGGAGTTTGAGACCAGCCTGACCAACATGGAGAAACCCCATCTCTACTAAAAATACAAATTAGCCGGGCATGGTGGCGCATGCCTGTAATCCCAGCTACTCGGGAGGCTGACGCAGGAGAATCGCTTGAACCCAGGAGGTGGAGGTTGCAGTGAGCCAAGATCGTGCCATTGCACTCCAGCCTGGGCAACAAGAGCGAAACTCCGTCTCAAAAAGAAAAGAAAAGAAAAGAAAATTCTTCAGATCATCTGGGCACGGTGGCTCACACCTCTAATCCCTGCACTTTGGGAGGTAGATCACTTCAGGAGGACCCAAGTGGATCACTTTGAGAGGCGGGTGGATCCCTTGAGGTCAGGAGTGAAAGACCAGACTGGCCAACATGGCAAAACCCTACCTCTACTAAAAATACAAAAATTAGCCGGGCATAGTGGCGGGCACCTGTAATTCCAGCTATTCGGGAGGTTGAGTCAGGAGAATTGCATGAACACGAAAGGTGGAGGTTGCAGTGAGCTAAGATCGCGCCACTGCATTCCAGCCTGGGTGACAGAGTGAGACTCTGTCTCATAAAGAAATAAAGAAAGAAATAAAGAAGTATTCTTGCCTCGCCATCTTGGATCCTGTGGAGACCGGCTAGGAACGGGACTTCTAAATGTTCTAAATGGAAATACGACTGGAAAGCAGTCTGTAGTCCGAGGCCATTTTTGCTGGCTATAAGTGCGGTCTCCAGAACAAAAGGGAACACATCTCTTCTTAAAATTAAAGGTGTTTATGCCCGAGATGAAACAGAATTCTACTTGGGCAAGAGATGTCCTTATGTATACAAAGCAAAGAACAACACGGTGACTCCTGGCAGCAAACCAAACAAAACCAGAGTAATCTGGGGAAAGGTAACTTGGGCGCATGAACACAGTGGCATGGTTTGTGCCAAATTCCGAAGCAATCTTCCTGCTAGAGCTATTGGACACAGAGTCCGAGTGATGCTGTACCCCTCAAGGATTTAAACTAATGAAACAATAATAAATAAAAGTGGATTCGTAAAAAACAAAACAAAATAAAAATTTTCAGGTAAAGGTAAAGGATCACACTATCTACACAAACAAATAAAGAGCACTGGAGCAACTTAGATCAAATGGACAAATCCCTTGAAAGACTCCCTTGAAAGACACAAATTACCAAAGCTCACTAAAAAAGCCACTGATAGTCTAAACAGCCCCACAGCAGTTCAAGAAACTGAATTTGCAGCTAAGAACCTTCTCACACATAAAAATCTTCAGGCTGAGACGTCTTCACTGCTGAAGTCTACCAAACATTTAAGGAAGAAATAATACCATTTCTAACCAAACTCTTTCAAAAAACTGAAAAGAAGGGAATACTTCCCAGTTCATTCTATGAGACTAGTATTACCCACAACTCAAAATCAGACAGACACTAAAAGTACAGATCATGTCTTTTACACAGACGTAAAATTTCTTAACAAGATTTTAGCAAATCTAGTCATAAAACCTACAAAGTGACAGTACATCATAACCAGGTGGGGTTTATGAATGGAATACCATTTTAAAATCAATCAAGGTAATTTACCATAATGGCAAAATTAAAATTAAAAACCATAAAAATATTTCAATAAATGCATAAAAAGCATCTGACTAAATCCAACATCCATTCGTGATTCAAAAACTCCATTAAAGCAGGAGTAGAAGGGAAGTTCTTCAACTTGATATGGTCATTTATAAAAAACCTACAGGTAGCATAATATTTAAGGGTGAAAGAAAGACTGAATACTTTTGCCCTGGGATCAGAAACAGGATAATATGCCCACGCTCACCACTTCTTTTCAAGATTGTAGGAGAGGTTCTAGCAAGTACTATACACATACACACACACACACACACACACACACACATACACACGTAAATATATATATTATATATATATTATCTATTCTATATACTAGCAATGAACAACCAAAAATAGAAATTAAAAAGTACCATTTATAATAGCATCTGGAAATATGATAAACTTAGGGATAAATCTAAGAAAAGACATGAAAGACCTCTACAGTAAAAACTATAAAACTCTGCTGAGAAAAACTGAAGACCTAAATAGATGTTAACATGTACCATGGTCATGGGTCACAAGACTCAATATTGTTAAGATGTCAATTCTCTCCATATTGATCTACAGATTCAGTGCAATCTCTAACAAAATCCCAGCAATTATTTTTTAAGAAATTGACAAGCTGATTCTAAACTTCAAATGGAACTGCTGAAGTTGTAGAATAGACAAAACTTTGAAAAAGAATAAAATGGATGGACTAACATTACCTACTTTTGAGACTTATAAAACGATAGTAATCAAGACTGTGGAATTTGAATAAGACAGACAAATAGTCTTCATCTTTGCTGAAGACTAATTACTCTGGGATTATTATCTAACATGTCTGTTTCTCTGAATCAGATGATGAGAAGTTGGCCCCTTTCTGGGTGAAGGCTTTTTGAAAGTAGGATGTGGTTGACTTGAGTCATATTTATTTGCACTAGGACGTAAGAATGTTTCACATCCCCAGTTTTCCATGGTATCCTCAAAAAATCAATTTTCTCAAAATTCATTTAGGAAATAATACTTGGGAATAGTAAACATTCAAAAATAATCTTACAGGCTGGGTGTGGTGGCTCACACCTGTAATCCCAGCACTTTGGGAGGCTGAGGTGAGTGGATCACTTGAGGTCAGGAGTTGGAGACCAGCCTAGCCAACATGGTGAAATCCTGTCTCTACCAAAAATACAAAAATTAGCCGGGTGTGGTGGCAGTTGCCTGTAATCCCAGCTCTTCAGAAGGCTGAGGCAGGAGAATCACTTGAAGCCAGAAGGCGGAGGTTGCAGTGAGCCAAGATCATGCCACTGCACTCCAGCATGAGTGACAGAGCAAGACTCCATCTCAGAAAAAAAAAAAAAAAAAAAATCGGCTGGGTGCAGTGGCTTATGCCTGTAATCCCAGCACTTTGGGAGGCCAAGGTGGGCAGATCACTTGAGGCAAGAAGTTCAAGACCAGCCTGGCCAACATGATGAAACCTCGACTCCACTAAAAAAAAAATACAAAAATTAGCCATGTATGGTGACACATGCCTATAATCCCAGCTACTTGGGAGGCTGAGGCAGGAGAATAGCTTGAACCCGGGAGGCAGAGGCTGCAGTGAGGCAAGATTGCGCCACTGCATTCCTGTCTGGAACAGAGTGACTCCGTCTCAAAAAAAAAAAGACAAATAGATCAATAGAACAGAATACACAGTCCAGAAATAGACTCACATATTTGATCAATTCCTTTTCAGCAAAGATACAAAGACAATTTAGCAGTGAAATAAAAGTCTTTGCAACAAATGACACCTGAACAATTAAATTTACATATACCAAAAAAAGGAACTTCAGTCCACATCTTACAATATATAAAAAATTAACCACAAATGGACCATAGAACAACTAAAATATATAACATTTACAAAACTTCTAGGATAAAATATAGATTATCTTCTAACTTTTGAATAGAGAAACATTTCTTGGATACACATGAAAAGCAGAAACCATAAAGGGAAAAAACTGAATAAATTAAATCCCATTAAAATGAAAACCTATTAGGAGAATGAAAAAACAGAGCACAACTGGGAGAAAATATTTTCATATTATATATCTAGAAAAGGTCTTGTATACAGAAAATATTAAAAAACTTACAAAATTCAATAATAAGAAAACAAAACAAAACAAAATGGGCAAAAGAATTGAATACACATTTCACTAAAGAAGATATGTAAGTGGCAAATAAACACATAAAGAGATGTTCTGGCTGGGTGTGGTGGCTCATGCCTGTAATCCCATCACTTTGGGAGGCCAAGGTAGCTGGCTCCTTTGAACTTGGGAGTTGGAGACCAGCTTGGGCAACATGGTGAAACCCCATCTCTACAAAAAATACAAAAATTAGCAAGGTGTGGTAGTGCACCGGTAGGCCCAGCTACTTGGGAGGCTGAGGTGGGAAGATCACTTGAGCCCGAGAGGTGGAGGTTGCAATGAGCCAAAATTGTGCCACTGCACTCCAGCCTGGGCAACAGAGGCAGATCCTTTCTCAAAAAAAAAAAAAAAAAAAAAAAAAAAAAAGTTCAACCCCTTTGTCATTGGGGAAATGCAAATTAAAACCACAGTAAAACACCTGTACAAACTTACAGGCTAACATTAAGGCTCACTATATCAAATGTTAAGATGAGGAGGAACTGGAACTCTCATAAATTGTGAGTGGGAATGTGAAATGGCACAGCTACTTTGTAAAATGGTTTAGCAGTTTCTTAAAAAGTCAAACATACACCTACCATACCATCCAGGCATTTACTCCTAGGTATTTACTGAAGAGAAATAAAAGCACATGTCTACATGAAGACTTGTATACAAATGTTCACGGTAGCTTTATTTGTAATAGCCAAAACTTCTGATTAACACGAAATGGGTGAATCTCAAAAGACTTACTCTGAGTAAAATAATTCAAACCAAAAAAATCTTATATTCTATATGATTCCATTTATATAAAATTCGAGAAAATTCAATCTATAGTGACAGAAACCAGATCATGGCTGAGCATGGTGGCTCACGCCTGTAACCCCAGAACTTTGAGAGGCCGAGGAAGGAGGACTGCTTGAGCCAGGTGTTCCAGACCAGCCTGGGTAACATAGTGAGACCCCCATCTCTACAAAAAATACAAAAATTAGCTGGGCATGGTTGTGTGCGCCTATGGTCCCAGCTACCCAGGAGGCTGGGGTGGGAGGATTGCTTGAGCCCAGAAAGTTGAGGCTGCAGTGAGCTGTGATCACACCACTGCTCTCCAGCCTAAGCGACACAGTGAGACCCTGTCTCAAAACATAGAAAGAAAGCAGATCACTGGTTGTTTTGGGAGGCTGTTCGTAGGTTGAGGGCTGGAGGGATTATATGGATTACACAGGGGCACAAGAAAACGCTGGAGGTAATGGATATATTTGTTATCTTGATTGTGATGATGGTTTTAGTGTCAAACCTGTCAAAACTATGTCAGATTGTACCTCAATAAGGTAGTTAAAAAATCAACCAACAAAACTGATACATTTAGACAACAGAAATCTATGCAGCATCTTAAAAGAATGAGTAAGATTAATACATATTGAAGATTTCCAAGATACGGTATAAAAAAATAAAGTATTATAAGTAGTAAGTTATCATTTATGATTTCATGTTTTAAAAAGGAAACTCAATCAACTGTTTCAACAATTGTTTCTTCGTGTATAAAATATCTCTGGAAAGATAAAAAAATTGATATATGTGTTTGTGTGTGAGAGAGATTGAAAGAGACAGAACAGAGAGAATATATAGGCTGGAGTTTGGAGTAGAAGAGACTTACTTTTCACTGAACACCTTTTTGAGCTGTGATTCCTCCTCCCTCACAAATGTATCACTTTTTAAGACAAATATAAAATAACATATTGATTCCATCTCTGAGGATCTGTCCTACAGGAACAGAAGTGTCAAAACATATATGCACAAAGCAATTCATTGAACAATTGTTACAAATGTTAATGGAATCACTGAATGAAAAAAAGTTGCAAAACCCTTGCCTCTGGGGATGGTTCTAAATGGAGAGGTTGGGGAGACAGGAAAAGAAGAGGGAAATTTGTGTAGTGACTTACTTTCTACATTTCCGAATTGCAGGAAATATTTTTGGTAATGAGTGGCTGTTTTCTTTTAAAGTAAAAGACCTCAATTAAGTTTTTGTTTGTTTTTTCTTCTTCAGGATGAGTCTCGCTCTGTCGCCCAGGCTGGAGTGCAGTGGTGCAATCTTGGCTCACTGCAGCCTCTGCCTCCCGGGTTCAAGCAATTCTCCTGCCTCAGCCTCCCAAGTAGCTGGGGTTACAGGCATGTGCCACCACACATGGCTAATTTTTGTATTTTTTTTTAGTAGAGTTGGGGTTTCATCATTTGGCCAGGCTGGTCTTGAACTCCTTGCCTCAAGTGATCTGCCCACCTTGGCCTCCCAAAGTGCTGGGATTACAGGCGTGAGCCACTGCACCCGGTTGATTTTTTCTTTTCTTTTTTTTCTGAGATGGAGTCTTGTTCTGTCACCCAGGCTGGAGTGCAGTGGCGCGAACTCAGTTCACCGCAACCTCCGCCTTCTGGCTTCAAGTGATTCTCCTGCCTCAGCCTCTCGAGTAGCTGGGATTACAGGTACCTGCCACTGCACCCAACTAATTTTTGTATTTTTAGTAGAGACAGGGGTTCCACCATGTTGGCCAGGTTGGCCTCAAATTCTTGACCTTGTGATCCACCTGCCTCGGCCTCCCAAAGTGCTGGGAATATAGGCGTGAACCACCACGCACGGTCCCAATTTTTAAAAATTTAAATAAATTATTGGTTTCAGTGTGCAAAGTCACCATAATAGAAGTGAAAGTGTGTTGCGCTTTGCAATGGACTGAAGATGACACTCACCCTCTTCCGAGCTTCAGATTTCTGGAAGCACTCGTGCTGTATGAAAGTAGCTGCAGCAGAAATCCTGGATGGCAGCATGTGGTCTGCCTCGAGCATACTCACTGCTCGCTCCAGAGTCATCTCCATGTCTGCATTCCTAGACAAACAGGCACAGATTCAGCCAGATTCCAAACCTCCCTCCTCCTGCCTACCAACCTGGTCCTCCAGAGACGACTCAGCGAATACTGGGAAGCACTAGAACATCTGAACCTTGGCTTTTCTTCAGCCAAAAGAAAAATCAGCACCCAAGATCACAAGGCAGAGGGACTACTGGATAGAAATTCTTCAGCTTTGATCAGATAGAAGACATTGGACGATGTCATTCGATTGAATTATACCATATACCAAAGAAAGAAGCTGAACTTTTAAAAATAAATATGAGGCTGAGGTGGGCGGATCACTTGAGGTCAGGAGTTCAAGACCAGCCTGGCCAACATGGTGAAACCCTATCTCTACTAAAAATAAAAAAAATTAGCTGGGTGTGGTGGTATACACCTGTAATCTCAGGTGTAATACTGTAATACTCAGGAGGCTGAGGCAGGAGAATCACTTGAACCCAGGAGGTGGAGATTTCAGTGAGCAGAGATAGTGCCACTTCACTCCAGTCTAGGAGGAAAAACGAGACTGCATCTCAAAAAAAAAAAAAAGAAAGAAAAAAGATAAATATGTATCCTATGATTCTTACATCTTATAAAAGCAACTTTAAAGGCACAATAAGACTTTTAAAAGAATCCAAAAGAAATCTGTTTACAGAAATTAAAAATTATTTCTAGGCTGGGCACGGTGGCTCACATCTGTAATCCCAGCACTTTGCGAGGGCAAGGCAGGAGGATTGCCTGAGTCCAGGAATTCAAGACCAGCCCTGGCAACATAGTGAGACCCTGTCTTTACAAAAAACAAACAGACAAACAAAATCAGCTGGGTGTGGTGGCATGTGCCTGTAGACCCAGCTACTTGGAAGGCTGAGGTGGGAGGATCGCTTGAGCTTGGGAGGTCAAGGCTGCAATGAGCCTTGGTCACACCACTGCACTCCACCCTGAGCAACAGAGTGAGACTCTGTTTCAAAAACAAACAAACAAAATAATGACTAAAGACATGCTTTAAAGGTAATTTAGGAGTGTTCTTTGGCTTCAAAGAGGGTTATACCTGATTCATTCCAGGTAACATTCCAGACACATTCATTCCAGACACTGGAGACATCCTGAGAAGGAGTTTTCCAATATCTACTAGCAAGCATAGTGAGTAAATACTCTTTTCTATTAGGCTAACCCATGAATACATGCACATGTGTACAGGTGTTAGTGTGTACAGCCTTATGAAGGGTGTGCCTGTGTGTGGGTGGGGGCGGTGCAGGTGGGGTGATAAGGAGTAATGCGCCTCATGACCAAAAACTAATACCCCCTGCTTCTGAAACACGTGTTCAAACACAGAAGGGTTACCTCATAAGTATAAAGGGTATTAAAAGTGAAGCAGAAAATCTCTGGCATCTATACTGAGAATTATATAATGATCTCATATTTTTAATGTGCCTCATGAGTCAATTATAATTAGTAAAAAAAAAATGCAGGCTATTACCACTAAAACTAGAATTTGAGTCACTTTTATCTAATATTTTTATCTAATATTAGAGGATATTACACCTTTTAAAGGAGATGGGAATATTTTACATTCATGGACTGAGGCCTTTACAGAGAAGTCAAAACTCTGTAAGTCTAGTCTCAAGCTCAATGGCAAAGTCTTTGCCAGCCATCACGGTTGTTTTAACTGATGAAAGATCATTCATAAGAACAGCCTTCTGTTATGCAGCTTTTTTTTTAAAAAAAGATTGAGCCATTAATCCATTTCATAAGCCATACATGACTCAGGAAAGTTTGAATTTCCCATCTCTAACACCCACAAATAATTCCACTACTCTAATCCTTTATTTTCCTGAACATGATTCACATAGAAGCTCTGTGTTCACACTTAGGCAATCCAATGCGATTTCACTTTATCACTAAAAAAATTCCTAAACTAAGTGAAGACTTCCTCAGCAAGGTTTACTACAGCTGTCAGGGGGTCAACTTTCTGTTTGACTATCTATCAAGTCCAACTCCATAACACGGCATACATTCTGGCCCAAGTCTGACTCCATTTCCTGTCATCCTCAACCTCTTTTCCTCCCCCTCCTTGGATCTACTACACCCCTCCAATCACACCAGGCTTTTAATCCTTCTCTAAACACTGCCACCTTCTTCACAAGCCACCTTCTTTGACTTTTCCAGGAAGCTTATCATACTACCTAATTCTCACCCATTCTTCAAGACTCAATTCAAGTATCTTCATTTCTTCTTGTTCTTCTTTTTTTAGAGAGACAGTCCTATTCTGTTTCAGGTGTGAGAGTGCAGTGATGTGATCATAGCTCACCATAACCTCAACCTCCTGGGCTCAAGCGATCCTCCCACTTCAGCCTTCTGAATAGCTGGGACTACAGGTGCACGCCACCATACCCGGCTAATTTTTTTTTTTTATTTTTTTTGAGACGGAGTCTTGCTCTGTCACCCAGGCTGGAGTGCAGTGGCACGATCTCGGCTCACTGCAACCTCTGCCTCCCAGGTTCAAGCAATTCTCCTGCCTTAGCCTCCAGAGTAGCTGGGATTACAAGCACCCACCACCACGCCCGGCTAATTTTTCTATTTGTAGTAGAGATGGGGTTTCACCATGTTGGCCAGGCTGGTCTCGAACTCCTGACCTCGTGATCCACCCACCTCAGCCTCCCAAAGTGCTGGGATTACAGGCGTGGGCCACCGTGCCCAGCCACATTTTTAAATTTTTTGTAAAGATGAGGCCTCCCTATATTGCCCAGGCTGGTCTCCAACTCCTTGTCTTAAGCAATTCTCCTGTCTCAGCTCAAATATCTTCATTTCTGTGAAATCTTTTCTGTACCCCATCCCCTAGAACAGCTAGAGCTATTCTTTCCTCTATTCTCCTATAGCATTCCCCCGTTCCAACTCCTTTTCTCTGTCTTCCTCCCTCCTTCTCTCTCTCCCCACTCACTTATAAAACATTTCTTGAAGGCTGCAGAAATGTGTCTTGGGAGATGGCGATGGGCCTGGGCTGGAGGATCAGGAAGAGAAGTTGTTCCCTAGCCCCACTGACCCCTGAACATATTCTCCAGAAGTAAGTCATTTCAACAATTTTTTAAATGATATCAGTATAAATTTAAAAATGTAAGAGAAAGCAGTGTAAACTACCACTGGTCAGAATACGAGACATTACAGGGGGAGAAAAAAACCCAGTAACTTGGCCGGGCGGTGGTGGCTCATACCTGTAATTCCAGCACTTTGGGAGGCTGAGGTGGGTGAAGCACCTGAGGTCAGGAGTTTAAGGCCAGCCTGGCCAACATGGTGAAACCCCGTCTCTACTAAAAATACAAAAAATTAGCTGGGCGTGGTGGCGGGCACCTGTAATCCCAGCTACTTGGGAGGCTGAGGCAGGAGAATTGCTTGAACCTGGGAGATGGAGGTTGCAGTGAGCCGAGATCGTGCCATTGCACTCCAGCCTGGGCAACAAGAGTGAAAGTCTGTCTCAAAAAAAAACAAAACAAAACAACCCAGTAACTTGTGTGCGTGTGTAATCTCCCCGTAGCCAGCATTCCTGCCAACTAACAACACAGCCCTGCCCAGGCTGGTTCCCCTGATATTAGAATATGGCTACACCTCTGAAGGCAAAGCAAACATAAAATGATGAATGGATAGCTCCTACAAGTATTGTCAGACGCTCAGTAAATGCAAATCCCCACAAATATTTTAAAGTAGGATGAAAGCAATGCTTTGGAAAGATGACTCTGGAATGGATATGTGTTTCTTGAAAGAGAGACAGCGTTGAGGGCACTATAAAAGGTTCAGCTGAGGCAAAAAAGCCTTGAACTGGGCTGTTAAAAATGGAAATGGAAAAAAAAGGTAGAGTTGAAAGAGATGAAAAATTAAAGAACTAAAGCAGGTAGTAATTAAGAGGACGTGGAGGGAAGTCAATATGATCTGTTTTCTGCTCTGCAGTGCTCTTGGTCACAAATTTGACTGTCAATCCTAGAGAAGATCCACCCTCTCTGCTTAGTCTCCCTCAACTAATCCCAGAGCACGATGCTCTTGTGGGTTTTGTTTGTTTTGCTTTGAGACAGGGTCTCACTCTGTTGCCCAGGCTGGAGTGCAGTGTCACGATCATGGCTGACTGCAGCCTGGACCTCCCAGGCTCAAGTGATTCTGTTGCCTCAGCCTCCTGAGTAGTTGGGGCTACAGGCATGCACCACCATGCCCAGCTAATTCTTGTACTTTGTAGAAGTGGGGTTTTGCCATGTTGCCCAGGCTGGTTTCAAATTCCTGGGCTCCAGCAATCTGCCAGCCTCAGCCTCCCAAAGTGCTGGGATTACAGGTGTGAGCCACCATGCCCGGCCCTGCTCTTGTGTTCTTTAAATTTCTGTAGACACTAATATGTATCACACAACCTAGCACTTGATGATATATCCTATTTTTCACTGCTCCTCTCCTAGACCATCATACATCTCACTCAATTTTCATCTTTTATTTATTTAATTATTATTTTGGAGACTGAGTCTTGCTCCTTCGCCCAGGCTGGAATGCAATGGCACGATACCAGCTCATTGCAACCTCCGCCTCCTGGGTTCAAGCAATTTTCCTGCCTCAGCCTCCTGAGTAGCTGGGATAACAGGCATCCACCACCATGCCTGGCTAACTTTTGTATTTTTAGTAGAGACGGGTTTTCACCATGTTGGCCAGGCTGGTCTCAAACTCCTGACCTCAAGTGATCCGCCCACCTCGGCCTCGTAAAGTGCTGGGATTACAGGCGTGAGCCACCGCGTCCGGCCCATTTTCATCTTTTGTGATGCTTACTGGGAAGGACCTATGAAGATCCTACTACTCATTTGCAGAACCATCAGCCTCCAACTGGTCATAAATCATGGTTTTAGAAAAATTCATCTATAATTTTTTTTGTGGTGATTCTTAAAAACCTTTTTCATCAGTTTGATTTAGAACATCGGTTTCATCAGTTTGTCTCTCTCACACTCCAAGTCTCAGTTTTTAGCTGCATTAGTAACTGTTTAACCAGCCATTCTTCTTTTGGAAAGCCAGGTCCATTGTTTAATACCTTAAGTCATTATGCAGGTTTATGGTTTTGTCCAGTTAATATTCAACATATATGAAAGAATACTCCTTTACATGTGGGAGTTTCACTAGGCATAAAAACTTAAATCCCCCCCAAAAAAGGGCTGGACAAAGTTTGACAATGCGGGACCAAAGAGAACACAGTGTGTGGTCTCAGGGCAGGTGTCCCAGGGAGCAGCCTGGGGAACTGAAATGAGGCGTGGAGCCCAGCAGAGGAAAGGGGGAGGTCAGACAGGCACAGGCACCACCTTGGGCATCTATCTTCCTCATTACACAAAATACGTCTGGCTCCCTCTCCTTTTCACAGAGAGCCAAATTTTCCTTTCATAATCAGAGAAAAAAAGTTGATTTCTATGATTTCTACTCTCTAGAATTTGGGGAAATCTCAGGAAGAGATTTCTTACTCATTATTTTTAAATTTCTTGACCCCAAGTGTTCCTTCTACTCTTGGAAATATGATTAAATATTATAATACAATTTACCCTGTCTATTAAAACAATAATCCAAAAATAGTATGACTAATACTTCTAGAATTTGAGCAACAAAAGAACCTAGATGGCAAAAAGTAAAATTTATATTTCATTTCTCCTTCCTTTAATTCCTTCACTCTTTCACCATATACTTATTTTTTGAAAGAAGATCTCATTCTGTTGCCCAGGCTGGGGTACAGTGGCACAATCACAGCTCACTGTAGCCTCAACCTCCCTGGCTCAAGCAATCCTCCCACTTCAGCCTCCGGAGTAGCTGGGACCACAGGTGGGCACTATCACGCCAGGCTAAGTTGTTTATCTTTAATAGAAGTGGGGTCTCGGGGTCTCCCTATTTTGCCCAAGCTGGTCTCAAACTCCTGGGCTCAAGCGATCCTCCAGCCTGGGCCTCCCAAAGTGCTAGGATTACAGATGTGAGCCACTGTGCTGGCCTCATCATATATTTATACAGTGCCTACTATAGGCCTACTTCCATTTTAGGGTGCTGAGAATATAAAGATGATTGAGCATTCACAAAAATCTCAAAGTCCAGAGGGAGAACAGATAAGCAAATGAATAGCCACAATATATTTTTCTGATAGAGACACTCACACAAGGCTGCTATCTGGGGCACCTAAGCTAGACTGGGAAGGAAGTGGTCAGAAAATAGGTGGTATCTGAGCTAAATCCAGAATTATAAGTAGTCAGACAAAAGTAGAGCTGCATATGTAAAGGTGTGGAGTGGGGGAAAAGAAGGAAAGAGAGAGAGAATGAATATGGATAAATATCTTGCATTAAGGAAAGTAAAGAGGTTCCAGGTGGTTTGGGTATTGGTATGTGGGTATGTTTGGGGATGGTGGTGATGAATGGCAGAGAAGAGTAGAAGGAGAAGAGGCTGAAGTGATAAGCAGAGCTGAAAACACAATGGGGCTTGTAGGTCATGCCTAAAAGCATGAACACTTAGTGGAATTATGGAAGGGTTATAAACAATCACATGTGGAAAGATAATTCTGACAGTCCTAGAGAACGGTTCTGACTGAGCAAGACCAGAGGCAGAGAGCCCTGTGTAATGGAAATGGAAAGAAGGGTAAAAATTCAAGACCCATCATAGAAGGAAAAATATGGCTTGGTGATAGGTGACTACAGAGGGAGAAGATAAGAATGACTTCCAGGTTTGAAAATAGTAGACTACAGCAGGAGGAGATGGGTGGAAGTTGAGGATAGGGAGATGATGAGTTTAGTTTAGGATATACTGAGTGTGAAATTTCCAGGAGGTTGTTACATTTTCATATAGGTCCAGAATTTGGCATCAAGGATGGAATTGCAGACAAAACTTTGAGAACCATAAGGATAAAAGTGAGGTACACAGAGCCTCTCTGGAAGAGCATCAAGACTTGGAATAGAAGGGTTACTGAAGATGCCTTCTTTGAGCAGGCAGAAAGGGAGCACGCAGAGAACACTAACAAAGAATGGCTGGAGAGGTGAGTGGAAAACCAGGGGAAGCTGGTGCCCTGAAAACCAAGGGATGAGAGAATTTCATGGTGTCTCAAACACCACCCACAGGTTGAGTAATATAAGCAGTGCTTATATTACTCAATATAGTGTCTGCTTAGGATGTAGCAGATAAGGCCATCATTGCTACATTTGTCAGGAGACTGTTTAGGTGGAATGGAGGGGACTGAAATCATATTGCAGTGGGTTGACGAGAGACTGGGAAGTGACAGGGTGGTTCAAGAAGCAAGGGACACAGAGATGGAGGGAGAGAATGCCAGTTGTTGGAGGATGTCAGATAATAATTTTGTTACTGTTAAAATCATTTTGCTAAAACTGTGGCTATCACAAATCCTAGGCTATGGTAGGCATTCCATAAATTTTGAATTACCTGTTTAAAAGCCTTTATCAGCTTTTTCCTCCATAAACAATGACCTGATACACTTTCTCTTTTTTTTTTTGAGACAAGGTCTCACTGTGTTCCCCAGGCTGGAGTGCAGTGGCACAAATCTTGGCTCACTGCAACCTCCATCTCCTGGGCTCAAGTAATCCTCCCGCCTCAGCCTCTCGAGTAGTTAGGACCACACGTGCACACAACCACACCCAGCTAATATTTGTATTGCTCGTAGATATGGGGTTTCATCATGTTGCCCAGGCTGGTCTTGAACTCCTAAACTCAAGTGATTCGCTCGCCTGGGCATCCCAAAGTGCTGGGATTACAGGCCTGGGCCACTGCTCCCGGCTTATTTTTCCTCTTTGTAAGTATGCTCATATTGCCTAAGGTCTGCTTACTATAAGAAATGTTAGAAATCTCATGGTGAATTTTACATCATAAAAAATATTTCCTGTGTTAAGATTAGATTAGCCCTCATCATTTTGAGAAGTAGTTTATTAATGATGCTACCTGGTCAGTGAGCATGCTGTACAATTTCACTTGAAGGGATGTTTAGAGGTAACAACTATCATTAGACAACTTTAGCAATCAAATGACAATAACATATCTAATGTTTTAGCCTAATGATGTTAGATCATTATTGCAGGAGTTACTGATCTAATCAGCCATCCATTTCTCAATCTTTCTCTTAGTAACGTGCACAGTTTATAAAATTTGTGATCAGGCATTAAACTTGAATAAGGGTTAAGTTCCAAACACTAAATTAGTCAAGCTATAAAGTAAATAGGAATGGAAAGGAATGACTTAAAAATTCAGTTATTTTAATAATTTAATACTGCCAAAAGAATACCCCTTCAAATCACTGACACTAGAAATCTAAAAGGTACCAAGTACCAAAGGAAGAAAAAAGACATCTAGAAGTCAGCCATCTTTCCTTAGCTCTTTTTACAGTCATAGTTATCCAAATGGCATTCGTGCTAAGAATAAGCATTTTTTCCTTTTATTTCATGGGATGATGAAGAAAATACGCATGCAATTCTCCAATTCTTGGCCTACTTTGGAGTTTAGAGCAGATTTTCATATGGCTGAGGGGTAGGGTCCCTTCAGCCAGCATCTAATCTGGAACAGATGGACTAAATGTCACATTTCCATACAAAGCTGCCATGTGAGCAGGTAGCTTGGCCCCTGTCCCTGAGGTAAATAGGCTGATCTGTCAATTAGGCAGCTGCCTGAAAAGTCATTATTTTAATCACTTATCTCTGGAAGCCCTTCTCTCAAGCCCCAGAAGTGCCAGCTCATGCTGTCAGGGCTGTGGGAACAGAATGTGCTGGCAATGACTGAACTGCAGAGTCAGGAGGGGACTTACCCCAGCTGGGAGTCAGTGAAAGTGCTTCTCTCAGTGAGCAGATTCCCACTTCCCCCTGCGGCCGCCTGGCCGACAGTCAAGTGCGCTCTCCTCCCGCTGGAATCCACGGCGACACTGGGCCCAGCTTCCCTCAGCGTGCGGGTGCTGTGGAAGGAGCTCTGATGCCAGGAGGACCTGGAAGCCCTGTTCTGAGTGACGGGCTGCAGGGGCACCAGCGGCCTGACCTGCCCGACAGTGAGCCCTGCCGTCAGGTAGTTCTCCTTCTCCAAGAGGTTGCCCATGCTGCGGCTGGTCCCTGGCCTGGGGTACGTGAGCAGGGCCGGGTTGGCAGGGATGCTGTCAAAAACGGTGTCGCTAACAGAGCCATGCTGGTACTGTCTGTGGTATGTGTCAAAGTGGCGCTGCCTGCTTGTGGTGCCAGCACGGCTGACCCCCACGATCTCGGAACGAGCATATCTCGGTGGCACTAGGAGGGCGGCCCGCCTGCTTTCTTGGTGGTGCAGGGTGTGCCCAGCCTGGCTTCTCTGGCTGTACTGGTAATCGCTGTGCGTGTAGTGAGCCCTCTCCGGGCTGCTGTCAGGAGAAATCTCCAGTCTCCTCAGAGGATGCCTCAAGGACCTTTCTTCCACGGACTTCTGGGAGCTGTACTGTGCTGTTCCTCTTCCCCAGCGACCTTCATAAGTGGCAGTTGTGCCAGCCTGCACATGAGAGAAATAAAGTTTAAAGGGGGCATAAATCAAATTTCAACTTTGCTGAGGACTAATTACTCTGGGACTATTACCCAACATGTCCGTTTCTCTGAATCAGATGACGAGAAGTTTGCCCCTTTCTGGGTAAAGGCTTTTTGAAAATAAGACTTGGTTGACTTGAGTCATATTTATTTGCACTAGGATGTAAGAATGTTTCACATCCCTAGTTTTCCATGGTATCCTCATAAATATCAATTTTCTCAAAACTCATTTAGGAAATGATAATACTTGGGAAAAGTAAACACTCAAAAATAATCTTAGGAAGTTTGAAAATATTTTCATGGTAGTAATCTGATCACTAGGGTTACATTCTTTGATATCCTACCTTTAGCATGTCATAGGTTTTAGGAACAGGGGAACGGCCTCCAACAAAATCATTTTCAACCAAGTGTAGGTTGTAGACATACTCAGGAACACTGCTGGTTCGGTGAAGATTTCCTGCAATCAAGCAAATATTAAAATAACTCAGAATACAAGTAGGCTAATTAATATTTACAGACTGTATAACAATGATGTATTAAACTTTTAAATTTAAGTAATGAAGGCCAAGAACAAGTATTAAACGTACGTTAATGTTTTTAAATGCTAGTTTCACACCACCCTGGGATATGGCAAGTGATCAAAGGTTATCAAAACATTCTCTACAAAAGTTTTTCAGCTGGGTGTGGTGGCGCACGCCTCTTATCCCAGCACTCTGGGAGGCAGAGGCAGGTGGATCACCTGAGGTCAGGAGTTCAAGACCAGCCTGGCCAACATGGCGAAACCCATCTCTACTAAACATACAAAAATTAGCTGGGCATAGTGGCGGGCATCTGTAATCCCAGCTACTCAGGAGGCTGAGGCAGGAGAATCACTTGAACTCGGGAGACAGAGGTTGCAGTGAGCCAAGATCACACAATTGCACTCCAGCCTGGGCAACAAAAGTGAAACTCTGTCTCAAAAAGAAAGTTTTGGCTGGGCACGGTGGCTTACACCTGTAATCCCAGAACTTTGAGAGGCAGAGGTGGGTGGATCACCCGAGGTCAGGCATTCAAGAGCAGCCTGGCCAACATGGTGAAAGCCCCTCTCTACTAAAACTACAAAAAATTAGCTGTGCGTGGTGGCAGGCACCTGTAATCCCAACTATTCGGGAGGCTGTGGCAGGAGAATCGCTTGAACCCAGGAGGTGGAGGTTGCAGTGAAGCTGAGATTGCGCCATTGCACTACAGCCTGAGCAACAAGAGTGAAACTCTGTCTCAAAAAAAAAAAAAAAAAGTTTTCAAAATGAAAGTTGAATTTAAAAAAAGAAAAAGAAGGGAGAGGAAATTCACAAAAATCTAAAAATGTTTGGTTGTTATAGTGCTGAAAAATTTGGGACTCATTGTCTGGTTTAGCTGGTCGAGACTATAAAATTCAGTTTCCCGAGTCACAGAACTCTGTTCCCAAGGCAGGAATTCGGAAGCTTCTTGTAATAAGCAGGTGTAGGCAATAAATATAATGGTGACTCAGCACTACTAGATAAGACAGCTTGTATAAACAACAGGATAGGCCGGGCGTGGTGGCTCACACCTGTAATCCCAGCACTTTGGGAGGCCGAGGTGGGCGGATCATGAGGTCAGGAGTTTGAGACCAGCCTGGCCAACATGGTGAAACCGGTCTCTCCTAAAAATACAAAAATTAGTCGGGGGTGGTGGTGGGCGCCTGTAATCCCAGCTACTCGGG
The DNA here is from genome assembly GCF_000001405.40 of Homo sapiens. Taxonomy (NCBI): domain Eukaryota; kingdom Metazoa; phylum Chordata; class Mammalia; order Primates; family Hominidae; genus Homo; species Homo sapiens. Next base: position 32,880,296 of record NC_000012.12, read on the forward strand.
AGGCTGAGGCAGGAGAATCGCTTGAACCCGGGAGGCAGAGGTTGCAGTGAGCCGAGATAGCGCCACTGCACTCCAGCCAGGGCGACAGAGCAAGACTCCTGTCTCAAAAAAACAAAAACAAAAGCAAGAAAAACAACAGGGTAGATCAGCATGATCAAGGGAAACATGGATCAACTTCAGGCCAATGCTGGGGTTGAGATATTTGGCAACAGGAGAGTTAGGCAGGAAAGGAAATCAACCTCTATGCTCCATCCAAATGGCTGCTTTTGTGGAATCACCTGGCCCCTCTTTTGTTTGGTGGTCTAATAGCCAGCCCACTCTCATGAAAACACAGACAGCAGCCAGCCCTTTGTGCTCAGCTCTGTGAAGCCTACAGGGATTCAACTGATGCCTGTCTCATATATCTTCACATACTCCTGTCTGAGGAGGGGGGAGTGGTGGAAAGCAGTATGTTGTGTCCCTCTTCTGCCTCCTTTATCCTTCTCTCAGCTTTTTTTGAGTTTTCTCTTACTGCCTTAAAAAAAGGCTAATCAAAATAATCAACAATCTCCAAAAGCCAAGTAATATCTACTTTCTTACATTTAACTGAAATTTTTTTCTGTCATGTAGCATTTTTTAGAAATCAGAGGGAAAATATACTCAATTAACTCTTCTAGGCTTCAGAGACTCATGAAAGATGTTGAGAATACAACAACACAGGGTGCTCCTTTCCAGTACAATGGGAACACATCAACATAACTTTTCCAATAAACTGTTATAAAGACAAAATTTCAAAATACTGATGATACATTCAAGGGGAGGGAGAATGGTAATTTGAAATTATTTTTGCCAGAGAGCTAAAAAGTCTAAATCCATCCTAAATTATGTTTGTACACGTGTCCTTATTTCCTATAGCCAAACAATCTGCCTGATAAACAATTTTCAGGCCTCAAGGAGTCTTGTGAGGAGGCAGTGGCAGGCTTGTAACTGTCACCCTAGAGACAAGAGCAGTTGAGATAAACCAGGCATCTCCTGTTTCCAGGGGCTTGATTTCTCCACAAGGGCTGGCAAAAGGTCAGGCAGCCACTTAATTTTTAATCTCTATGGCAAAGAACGGCTGGAACTTGGACCTTAAATAAAGAAAAAAAATTTTTTTCTATAAATTTTATTAGAGATGGAGTCTCGCTATGTTGCCCAGGCTGAACTCCAACCTCTGAGCTCAAGTGATCCTTCTGCCTCAGCCTCCCTTACTTGAAAGCAATCTTTTCCATGACCCGACAGCCAATTTAAGAGAGAAATCAAGGACACATTAACAGTTGGATCCTTAAGGACGCTGACATTTATTATTATAAGTAAGTTGAAAGCAACTCATATTATTATTGTTATTATTATTTTTTCAGACGGAGTTTCGCTCTTGTTGCCCAGGCTGGAGTGCAATGGCACGATCTCGGCTCACTGCAACCTCTGCCTCCTGGGTTCAAGGAATTCTCCTGCCTCAGCCTCTGTGAGCCACCGTGTCTGGCCTCATATTATTATTTTATGTTGGCTGAGGCTCGCGCCTAGGCTAACCCTTTATCCTCTACTCTGCACTCCTTCTCTCCTCCCCAGGCCACTAGGGAGGTAGGCCTGCAAGGGCCAGGCTGCTGTGGGAAAGGAGGCTAGCAGGCCAGGTACAGGGAACATAAAAAGGTTCTAATCCTGAAGAGTCCGGGGGCCAGAGTACCCTCAGCACTGGGAATATGCAGAAAGGGGAAGGGTTCGGGGTAGAGGGATGTGGCTGGGGAGAGTGCTTACACTATCCCCACCCCCAATAAAACAAGCCTTTGTACAAAGCCCACAGCCAGGCAGAACATTATTAGTTAGCTGATACATAAGAAATCCAATTTACTGTCTTTATAAAAATTAGTTTAGGGCTATCCATGTTCAAACCTTTAGACCACATGAAAACTGAATTAGGAAAGTCAGGGACAATCTAGAATGGCAAAGTACTAATGGTCATTTATGGACCGTAGCTGGAACCATTAATTCCTGTTACTCTATAATAAAACGGCAGGTGATGAAAGCAGGCAATTTTAGGAATTCAAGAAAAACTCTGTAAATCAGCCCCTTTAGCCCATCATCACCTGGAATATACCCTTGCCCTAATTCCAGGAGTAGGTAGATATTCAGGAACAGTTAATGGCGTGCTTCTTCCATCTTTAAGCTGAGATCCCTGCAAAGGTTTTCTAAATGTGTAAGAATCTTTGGACAGGACCCAGTGAAACAGTATCTCCTATCAAATAGCTAATTAATCAGTGAGATTTATAATCAGGTTTATTGAACTAAAATGTTTAACTGACATTAAACATTCAAGTTGTTGCTGTGAGTTTTAAGCCTTTTTAAAGCAACTTGTGTGAACTCCTTACATTTCAATGTGACTTTTCCTTTAAGGAGCTCAAATTATTTTATGTTCCTTTATAATATTCTGTGATGCGGAGCCAGCTACTATCATCTCTGTTTATAAATAGGGAAACTTAAATTACCTGCTTTAAATTGCAAAGAGATTTAATAGTCAGGGTTGATTATTAAATCAACCTGGGTTCCTCCTTTCCCCTGGTCTCTGCTGTCTGACTGCAAGGTGGCTACTATGACATTGTCATTTATCAAGGCCTTAGAGGGATTATTATTATAGTTTTGATCTGAGGACAAAAAAATTATTTTTCTTTCCTCTAAAACCTTCACTTACGCAACTCCAAATACTCTGTAAATATTAATTCTTTATTTGCCAACATAAGTTCTTAGAAGAAAGCTGCTTCTTCAGTTTTCAGATGAATGAACTGAGGCTGTTTTAATGGTTCGCCAAATAACTACAAAGTAGTTGGAAACAGGGAAAAAAATAAGATTGAATTTTTAAATCACAGACACTCTCCCTGTGGAATACACATGAAAGATGTGACTCCAGATATTCAGCCTGCAAGTTGGCACAATCGATGGTTTTTCTGGATAAATAGCCAATCTCAAACAACAAATACTGCAGACTAATTTGCCTAGGCAGTCATGAGTTTGAGATCAGTATGCTGGATTAAAGATGAATTAATAGCTGTGTTCTAAGATTTTAAAGAAATTTTGGACTGAGTAAAATTTTTTTAAAGTAAATACTAATAAGGATGGAAATGAATTTCTTTAAAATAAGTCATTTTCTGTTCAGAGAATAAGATGATATCGTGATGACCGTTGAACATATAAAATAACTCAGCCATGTCCTTTTCTGAAAATAGAAGAAAGCAAACAAAAACATACACAAAGGTGCATCCAGCTTTAAACAAATCCAACATGAAAATCCAGATTTTCTTACACTGAAAATTGAGGTGTGATTCTATTTCAAAGGATTTGTTTATTTCGAAAAAGAAGTAGGCATCTTCCCTACATTGAAGAAATCCGTAGGCTTCATCTGGAACCCCTATTCTACCGCTTTGTATGTGTCTGGACAAATCAGTTAGATGCCTGTTTCCCGTAATTCCAGCTACTAATAGGACTGCTGAGAGAGAGGGTTTACCTGAGAAAGCATAGACTCAAACGCTTTCAAAATTGTGAAGTGATGGGTTTCAGGACGTGTCATCCCAAAATATGGCACTTGGCATTTGAGGAAGCAGCAGGCGCAGGAAGTGTATCCTTACGCCTTCCTCTCACCCCTTCTCCCTTGAAGCAGACCATATAAAATCAAGCTGACCTTCCTTTGAATTAGGTCAAAGACTCATTCCAGAAGGATCCTCCCTATACCTGGAGGAAAGGAATGTCATAAAGGGAAGAATTTGAACAAAGAAGCCTTGCTAAATTCCCTCAGTTTATTACCATTAGATCAGGCCCACCTTTGTCTCATCAGACTTCTGCATGACTGTCTATAAAAATACAGTCTTCTGCCAGGCAAGGTGGCTTACGCCTGTAATCCTAGCACTTTGGGAGGTCCAAGTGGGCAGATCGCCTGAGGTCAGCAGTTCAAGACCAGCCTGGCCAGCATGGTGAAATCCCGTCTCTACTAAAATGACAAAAATTAGCCGGGCGTGGTGGCAGGCACCTGTAATCCCAAGTACTTGGGAAGCTGAGGCAGGAGAATTACTTGAACCCAGGAGGCAGAAGTTGCAGTGAGTCAAGATCACGCCATTGCACTCCAGCCTGGGCAACAGAGTGAGACTCCATCTCAAGAAAAAAAATAAATATACAGTCTTCCCTGTTTCTTTGGGTCTTCATTTCTGAAGACTCCCATGCCACATAAAACTTATATTAAACAAATTTGTTATGCTTTTCTCTTTTTAATCTGTCTTTTGTTATAGGGGTCTCAGGCATAAACCTGGTGACGGGTAAGAAAAGAAAACTTTTCTCCTCTACACAAGCAATATGCAAAAATGAGATAAGGTTTCTAAATAGAATTTGAGTCATAAAAATTTGATTTTCACATTTTTTCATGAATTAGTCTATTCTAATAACAGGGATAAACTAGTGTGCATGGTTTACACTGTGTTGTAGAGCAGTTTTTTTTTTTTTTCTGCTAAGTTTACCACTGGTCTTGAATTGGACTTTTTCTGGTGACTTCTGATTGACCCGTCACTGAGGAGCACGATGATATTACTGTGTTTTCCAGCCATTCATTTCACCTGCACAGTGCATAATGTGCTTTCGATGTTTCCTAAAGAAGGGGATGATTTACTAGGAAATATTTCAAATTAACATGGGCTCAGGCAACATTACCTATACTTTTTTCTAAAAATACCATGCACATTTTATGGAGCCCATTTTAAGGAAAATAAAGTAGGTAGTTGCAGAGCAACTTTAAACTCCACTCTTCTCAAATAACAAGCAATTCAGGTCAAACCAATTGCGGGGGCGGGTAATGGTGAAGGAGGTCTGTTTGGATGGTGGTAGGATTCTAAATTCCTCAGAAAATTGCAGAGGTGAAGCCGTCACAGGACAATGTAATTTTCTCCCTTTCCCAATCTGAGTGTTCATTGGAATGATATGATTCCTAAGCAGCTGTTATGGAAAAAGAAGCTTTGTGTTTGGTCACCAATACAAACATTGCTCGAAATAATGAATTATTGTCAGGGTTAAAATAGTCAATAAGGCCAGGCATAGTGGCTCACGCCTGTAATCCCAGCACTTTGGGAGGCCAAGGTGGGCAGATCACTTGAGGTCAGGAGTTTGAGACCAGCCTGGCCAACACGGGGAAAGCCTGTCTCTAAAACATAAAATACAAACCCTGTCTCTAAAATACAAAAATTAGCTAGGTGTGCTGTTGGGCACCTGTAATTCCAGCTACTTGGGGGCCGGGCTTGAACCCAGGAGGCAGAGGTTGCGGTGAGGTGAGACTGTGCCACTGCACTCCAGCCTGGGCAACAGAGCAAGATTCCGTCCCCCCCCCAAAAAAAAAACTAAGTTGATTTTCATAATCACAGTTTTGTGAACAATTTTATTATGTAATTGGTTAGATTGAATGTATTTATGAAATCAAATTGACAAGTCTCTATTGTGGTTCCATTACCTGTTTCTGGGCATATTTATAAAAAACCAACTACAGTTTCTTTTATAGTAAGCAAATGACAGAGAACTGCTAAACAAGCAAGATCTTTATATAGCCTGCTTCTATTAGAGAGAAGAGAGGTGCACTCACATTCAGAAAAGCGTCTTTTCTTTCAATCTTCTAGCACTGAGTGTGGTTTAAAAAAAGTGATTTGGTTCACACTGAGCTCTAAAAGGAGGATTTCTGGAGATGAAGATACATGTAGAGGTGCCCACAAAAACAGGTGTGGTTAAATGTAACCACAGAAATCAGCAGGTGTTCGCTATTAGTATTGATTTAAATGCTGCAGGTAATTGGGCTAACAACCGTGAGCAGTTGTCCTCACAGTGTGGATTCACGATGGTCTTTTAGAAGGAAAGAGCCTGAAAGTCTAAAAGCTTATCATCTTACTGTTATTTGGTCTTTCTACAGTAATCTCTGGCTTGCAACAGCTCTCGTTCTCCACAAATCTTAAAAGATTTAACTTCTCCCATTACAGTAAAGTTGAGGACATGTTATTCCAGGTAAGACATGGGATCTTGCCACTTATTCAGAGGAATTTGTATAGCAATTCATATTTGAATGGATCCTTAAAGTCATTTACTAGCAATAGTAGGAGCTTAAAAGAAAGCAGAAAATATACTGAGACTCATCAAAGACCATACGTATGTCCGCACTCCTGAGTTGGTGAAGGAATTTTTTTTGTTTTTTGTCTGTCTGTGTTGGCATAAAACATACGATTCATTTCCTTGGACTTACATATTTTTTAAAACTATATTTTATCTTCTATTCTTACTTTCCAAGAAGAACAACCAGATATTGATGGAAATCACAACAGCCCAAGTAAGCATTTGCTTAGGCTGGAAAATAAGTAGAATTTGTTGGTTTAGAAAACTATAGTTGGCTGGGCAGGGTGGCTCACACTAGCAATCCTAGCACTTGGGGAGGCTGAGGTGGGTGGATCACTCGAGTCCAAGAGTTTGAGACCAGCCTGGGCAATATAGTGAGATCTCGTCTCTACAAAATTTTAAAAATTTAAAAATTAGCTGGGCATGGTGGCATGGGCCTGTAGTCCCAGCTACTTGGGAAGCTGAGGTGGGTGGATTGCTTGAGCCCTGGAGACAGAAGTTGCAGTTAGCTGAGGTTGGGCCACTGCACTCCAGGCTGGGTGACAGAAAGCAAGACTCTGTCTCAAAAAGGAAAAAAAAAAAGGGAACACTATGGTGAAAAATTGTTTCAAAGCAGATGAAAGTCTAAT